>NC_000008.11:2780565-3082850 GCF_000001405.40 Homo sapiens
ATTACAGAGAATTTACAGACAAGTTATTAGAAATTATAAGGAGCCCTTATCAATGTTACATGACATAGATCAAGGTACAAATGTGAATTGGTTTTCTAAACCCATCAATGAGCAAAATTAGAAATTTTGAAAAGAATGCTTTTAGAAAAGAAGTACACATAATCAGTGGCAAGAAATAAATGTAACAAAAATTTCATAAACTTCATGCAAAAAAAACACCTGTAAAAGATTATTAGAAGGACAAAATAGTTAAAGACCTAAATAACAAAAGAGACATAGCTTTATGGATAATAAAATATTATATTCAAGGATGCCAATTCTTCCCAATACAAATCAAAACAATTTGGTGTCTATTTAGAATATGATTATATTGGATCTCTCTCTTGCGCTTTATAACAAAGTAAATTTCACTAAATATAGAAGTATGCTAAAGATGGAAGAGGAAAAGCAATAAAGTAAGAGAATAACTGGAAGAAAATCTAGGTGACTACGTGAACTTTCCAGGAGTTAGACTGGTGTTTTAATCCAAGAACAGAAACACAGAAGCTGCTAAAGAAAATAGAGACATGAAATATACAATATGTTTTAAAGTAGCAAACAAAAACCTCTAAATAAATAGGAAAAATATACTTAGTGGGGAAATTGCAACACGGGAGCTTGTTGTAATATATAATTTATAAAAGACAAACAGCAGCTCTTACAGATTGTCAAGGATCAATGAGCAAGTGGACAAATAACAAGAATGAGCAGTCTAGCGATGAGCACTCGGATAATTTAAAATTTAAAATAGATGCAAAGTGTACAAATACTGACTCATACTCAGGAAAGGTCAGGAAAAACATTACATATTTCCTTGTATCTAATAAATTGTCCAAAATAGAAAGCTTCAATATTTTTTTAATTTTGTAATACTTTTACAAAAGATTGTAATACTTTTACAATCTTTAAAGATGCAAAGAAACATTTTTTCTTATGATTGTTAGTGGAAATGTAATTATTAGAGCCATTTTGGACAATACTATGTTAAAATATATTTAAACAATTAAAAATCTAGAAATTCTATATCAGGTGATAGATTTAAACATACATTATTAAAGGGAAGATGAGAGCAGCAATCATACTAAAAAGTGTTTGGAACTCTACAGAATCTATCATAAAACAAGAGAGGAATTACAATGTCAAAGTACTGTACACAAAAAAAAATGCATACGTAGACAATTCCTGCAATAAACAGGCGAAAAAGCATTCCCTAAAACCCCGTAAAAAAATTAGGATTGCTGAACCTTCTAAAGCAGTAAGCACCACTTGGGAATAAATAGTCGCTGTGCCCAAGTAAGGGGAGAGTAAAAAAGAAGTTATTTTCTTCTGAGCTGGAACATTCAAATACTACCAACAGATGCTCATACTCCCAAGACGGGTCTCTTCTCCAAGAGGAAGGCTTGGGTGGTGGGTCTAAAGGGAACTGTGAGGAGGAAAAGGGGGCTTCAAGGCTCTAATCATGCAGGTACAGGGACATTGTGGAGAGTGCTGGGTGACATGCCAGCGGTGGTCAGAATCCTTACAGCCCTTCCAAAATAGCAGCACCCAAGAAAACTACAAGGAATAAGTCAAAAATTGGCAAGGGCAGGGTTGTTGGGGATAAAAGCAGAGGTACAGCCATTAATAGGGAAGAGGATCAAGAGAGGCAGACATCAGAAAATACTCAAGAGGTGGATAAACTAGGGGGCAATTTATTGGAATATACCATGATAATAACAGAATAGAGAGCCACAGAACTGCAAAACTAGAAAAGACATCTGCCCAACACAGCTCCCACACCATCTTCTCGAAAATATAGAAAACACGTCTTACTTATATGTGAGCAAGAGTGAACAAGCACAAATAAAACCCATTACATTGACGTTATAAGAAAATTTTAAAAGGAAGTAATTTTTCCAAAAAAAAATTACATACAAAAGTGAAGACGACCTGAGGTATATTTCCATGATGTAGAGAAAAACTGAAATCCAATATTTAAAATAAGCTAAAATATATTTTAAAAGAAAGAGAAAATAACCAGTAAAAGGACAAGCATTACAGAAAAAAAGAATTAGAAAAGCTCAGATATAATATGATAAAGCAACCAGAAGACATGAAAAGAGTGTTGACAGATTATCAGAATCAGAAATTTAAAAATAAAATTCAGCAATTATATGTAAGCTAGAAGAAACACAAGAGCTGTGAAACACCTGAGAAATACTGCAGGGAGGAAAAAACAGAAAGGAGAAAATAAGGAAATCAAGCAGAACTGTAAAAATAGATAAAAACTTTAAAAGAGAAAATGTTAGACGTAGAAGACAAGCAAAGACGTTTGAGTATCAGTATAATAGCAGACCCCACAGAAGAATTAAAATAATGAAACGGCATAAATGATAAATACTACCCTTCAAAACATTACATTGAAAAAATAACTTTGAACCACCAAATTAACACTTTATTTAATGAAACTGAGAAAGTTGACCCTGAGAGAATTGCTGTACGCGAATAAAAATAAAGCAAACACAGTATACTTTGGGCATCCAGACCAGAAAAAAAAAAATCCAACTCATTTAGGAGGAAACTAAGTCATACCTATATTTGATTTTTTGATAGCAAACTTTAAGCAGAAAAAAATGGGTGAAGATATTTAAGATAGTCAAGATATTGAAGATACTCCATTATTCTAATAACAATGTTAATGTTGAAATTTGATAGATTATGTTATATTCACTATTTCCATGCAGCAAATTCCACAGTTTATATAGTGCTGTCAATAGACAGTATTTGTTATATCATAACTCCTCTAACAAAACCAACCAAAACATGGCAGTCTTGTATGCATCAAATAATTTGTAAGTAGAAAAATAATACTTAGCATCCAGATAATATTTTTATATATTTACCTCTTGGCTTTGTGTCAATGGAGGTCAACTACAATCCTTGAATCATATTTTTTTCTCCAATAACTAGAATAATGCTTGACAAATACTTTTAAATTAATAAGTATCTATGATCGAAAAAAACCATAAAATCAATATGTCAATATGTAAAATATTGAAATAGCATGTAATGACACTAGAGTTACACAAAACAACTCCCATAATTTTTTTTCTGGATAGTGAGTGTGTCAAACATAAATCTTATCCTTATCAACGATATTCTTGGTCAACCTGCATTCAGTAACTTGCTTTCATGGCTGGTGGCCAACAAGTTACTCACCCTCACATAGCTGGATAGTACTGAAGTTTCTGACTCCTTTTAGCACATCTATTAATAGATGTCAATAAAACTTTCCATGTAAAACGTGGGATATTATATCCAAAAGAGCCAGAAACAACCTAGAGGTTCAGAGTTATGGTGGAGCAAATTTGAACCAATATGAAACAAAGGACAGGAGAGGATCAGGCAGATACATGACTCCTTCCTTTCCTCTCATGAGTGTGTGCAGAGAAATGGATTTTCCTTGATGACCAATCTTTTGTGTCTCCTGTGACATATTTATAAGCAGTAGTGAGTACAGTAATGTATTGATTTCCATTACTTTTTTTTTTTTGCAAAACTTGTTCTTCATTCTTGCTGCCTAGAATTGACAATTGTCTAATAATGCATCAGTACTTAATAAATGCACTAGTCTGTCTTTTTAAAGATAACTCTATTAAAGACAATTAGAGTTGGAAGAGATTCCACAAAGCAGGACCATTTGGAGAGCATTAAGAACCCACTGCTGGTTATAAATGAGATGTTAATAAGCTTTGCCATTTTATGGCATAAAAATTTCACAAGATGGTCACCTGTGGTTAATTAGCAAGAAGTTCAGGTGGGAGATGAAATAAAAGGGGTCTTAACTGACTTAAGAAGAATGGTAATTATAAAGTAAACTTTTTCAGTGTGCTTGATCATACTAGAGAATTTGAAAAATGAAATAAGTTCATGCCACAAAAATACCAAATTCAAGCAAATTCCAAAAAGCCAGATGGCCATTACAGAAGGTTTAAAGGAGACGTATATATATCTTGTGAATGCATCAGCCCATGTTGAAAATGAGGCCAATGATCTGATTCCAAGAGTAGCAGAGCTGAAAGGACACTAAATGCATACATGCAATAAGTTTACCTTGTCAATGCTGAAAAATGATGAAAAAAGTATGAAACACTGACATATTGAATGGGACATTTGAATAGAAAAAAACAGAATTTTAAACTTCCAAATTTCCTTAAGTTCCCCTGGCCAGCAAAATTAGCTCTTTTTCTCCCAGAGAATACTATCTTTGCATAGAGATCGTGTGATGATCTCAAACAAAGCAGGCTTAAAAAAATCCTTAGGATCTGTATTATTTTTCCTATTGAGTTTTGCCAGAGGATATATACAAGATAATTTCTTTCTCTGGACCTTATTAAAACTGGCAGCCTTCATTCATTACTAGCTGCCACTCAAATGGGGTGTGTATTGTTAACAAAATTCACAGAAAGTGCAACAAAGTATTATTCACATTGAAGGTCTTGTGCTAAAACATACTCCCAGCCACTGGATTTCCATTACTTGTATCAAGTAACCAGTCACTAAATTTTTGCAGACTGATCTTCCACTCTTGTGATGAGGATTCCTCCTGAGCTCTCTAAGATAATTTGCTAATAACTACTTATCAGGTCGAATCACTTTTGAGATCTTCAATGTACAGGATTAGAGTGATGTCCAGTGGGATGTTAAGCTCACCACATTTCTCTGTTGTAGACTGGGAGTCTGCCAGTTATGCCCTGCAGTCAGCCTGCTTGATTTTGTATATAAAGTTTTATTAGAAAGTAGCCAATCCCATTCGTTCTGTATGTTTACTTTTCAGCTGTTACAGAGTTGACTAGTTGAGCCAGAGATTGTGTGGACTGTAAGCCTGAAATACATATAATCTGGTCCTTTAAGAAAAGCTGGTTAACCCTTAGCCTATATTGTGATATAGAACGGAAGAATTGGTACTGTTCTAAGCAGAACAATAAAGGAGCACTCTTTTCTCCTCTAAGTGGAGGAATATTTTCTGGTAGTTCTTGCACATTAGTCTGGAGGCAAAAAAAAAAAAAAAATGGTTTTTGCCATACGGATGACTCTAAGCTAGGTACCAGGGGCTGTGCTTACTGGCATTAAAGTAAAGACATATGAGGCAGCAACTGCAATGACACAGAAGTAACCCTTGCTTTAGCTTATGATGGTGGTTATTCTCTAATACTTAACAACCTTCTACAGTGACATATTCAGCAAATTAAATGGAGATGCCCCATCCCTGCATCTCTGAAATCTCTGAATGTGGCACTAATCTGCAATTCCTGTAAAGATGCAGTATTTCTTTGGTTTACTGTCCTGGTAGAAAGACGTTTAATCAGGTTCCACTTAATTTTGCTATATAATTGCCTTCACTCCAAAGATAAGGGGGCCAATAGGAGAATTCTCCTGGCTGCCAAGTACGTGCATTGTAATTAGCCACCTTCTATGGAAACTACACATGGACGGTCTGCAGCGCTGCTTAGATCCCTGTGGCATAGGCTGGGGCCAAATTTCCAAATGATACTTAATCACCATAGTTCCACAGTTTGACTTTGGGACCCCGGAACAATGTCATGTATATATACTCTAGGTCTTCTTTAAGTCTTCTCCAAATAAACCTACCTCCAGGAACTAGGGTATTTGTACATTGGAGAAAGAGAAACTCCTCAGTTTTGGGGGGATTAGTAAATGCTTGAAACAAGTTGATGTTAGTTCCTGGTGACCCAAGGTCAAATTAGGGGATAATGGGGATCAAAGACAAATGGAATTTTGATTCAAGTCTGTGGGTCTCAGTGATCACACAGCAGGTAAAAAGTGATATCTCATCCCGAGCAGCCACAGGTGTGGGTCAACGCGATGTTACTTCACACTATGGGATACATGAGTTGCATTTCCAGCAGCAAGAAGCCAGGAACCACATTAAAGACCAAGGACATTTGACCTGGTGCAGTGGCGCACACCTGTAAGCACAGCACTTTGGGAGGCCAAGACAGGTGGATCACTTGAGGCCAGGAGTTCGAGACCAGCCTGGCCAACATGGTGAACCTTATCTCTTCTAAAAATACAAAAATTAACCAGACGTGGTGGCAAATTCCTGTGGTCTCAGCTACTTAGGAGGCTGAGGCAGGAGAATAGCTTGAACCTGGGAGGCAAAGGTTGCAGTGAGCCAAGATCACGCCACTGCATTCCAGCCTGGGTGACAGGATGAGACTCTATCAAAAAAAAAAAAAAAACACAAAGGAAAAAAAAAAAAAAGGAAAAGAAGAAGACCTAGAACATAACCAAAGTGATCTCAGAATCCTGCCTTTTAATTTTGTTTCCTGTCCAAGGAAATCTCCCATGACTGTATCAATCAGGAAAACAGAGAGTACATCAGGTATTTCAAACAGAGAGGGTTAATACAGGGAATTGTTTTCAGACATGTTAGAAAATTAAAAGACTGCCAAAAGGAGATCATGCAGACATCCCAAAGTAATAACTGCAGGAAATAGCTGCAATCTTCATGGCTTGGGGGAAAGTGGTAATTAATAAAACCTGAGAGCTCTGAGGAGGAGCTCCCACAGACTCGGTGCTCACCCTGGGAGGGAGGATGTGAACCGCTCTTTCCTCAGGAACATGGACAAGGGTCCTGGGAGGTTGGTGCTCAGGTGTCTGAGTTGAAACACTGCGGCAACTGCTTCTTGGACCTCTGTGGGTATCTTAGACTTCCACACTGAGTCAGATTCCAGAAGTTAAAAGGAAACTGGATTCTGAAGAGGGGCTACTGTTGGAACCAACAGCTGTTCCCAGGACCATGCTACAGAACAGGAAAACAGGAAAGAATAACCTCCTTCTTCTACCTACTCTCCTGCACTGACCGAACCCCGCAGAAAGGCATCGAAGAAATCTCGTTTGCAAAATTTACACTTCTGCCACATACAGGAGGGTAACTTTGGAGCTCGAGGAAACAGGCAGGTATTCAGCAGCATGCAATCTAAGTTTTGTTTTTGAAAGACCAAAAGCTCTGGTTGTTGCGTAGAAAATAAACCATAAGAGCAAGACAGGAAGGAAGAAGAAAAGTCTTCATTAAGCTACTGCATTTGTGCCAGATTATTAAGTAGAGGGAAGATAGGAGAGAATGCTGAAACTTAAGAATGTCTTTATAAAATCGTGTGAGAAATAATATTTTGGCAAGCGAAGTTCTCAAAACAAAGGCTAAACGCATAATAACAAATTGCACACACATTGCCTCTTGTAACTTATTAATGAAAGATTGTGCTGCTGAAGAATTATCTCAGTCATTTTTACAATGAAGAGGATCTGAGTAATGTCCCCATGGTGAAGCTGGCACATTACTGTTTGCTAACTAGGTCGCATGATGGATACTGCTGCATTCTCAATTCCTCACTGAGCCAGAGGGAGGAAAATCACCACTTCAGAAGGATAAGTAATTCAGTCCTTAACTCTGCAGCTGCGAACCCATTTTGAGTCTAACCTGTTCTCATCTTTGGGTTCAGACATGTTTACACATGCCAGCATTTGCGGGGATGGGGTTGGGGACACCAGGGGTATATGTCCATAAGGAACTAGAAATAATTCATTGCAAAGAAAGAAAAATTAAAACCTAAGAGTTTGACTCAGTAACAGCAACTGAAATATTTTGAGCCCTTATCAAGGGGCAGATTCTGTGTTAACTGCTTTATGTGTGTTAGTGCCTTAACCCTCACTGCTGCAGGATTGCTGATATGATGGGGCCAGCTCTGGAGATAGGAAGACAGGTTCAGTGGGTTTAAGTACCTTGTCTATCATTGCACATTTCATAAGCTTCGGGGCTAGAGGTTGAACCTCGATTAGCTCCAGACATCACACATTTATCCACAAGAGCAGGACCCCTGGAGAGTGTTGAAAATGTGCTCACACCTCCTACATCCAGCGCCTTGGGAGACGCCCAGCACCTGACTCTGTGGCTTGTGCTGGCACCGTGGGGCCCGTCTTCTTGCTGTCACCACCATGTGAAGAAGCTCAGGTCAGCCTGCTGGATCCTGGAAGGCTTGTGGCCCAGCTCCCCTTCCACTCTGGCCAACAGCCTGCTAATCACATGCATGAGCATGTCCTCGGTCAGCCAGCCCTGGGAGAGCTCACCGGCTGACCTCAAGCCTACAGGCAGACCCTTCAGAGATCAGCCCAGCCTTTCTAGCACAGAAGAGCCTCCTGGTCAGCCCACAGAACATACAAATACCGTACATCGGCCTCTAATCAAGACGAGGAACCAGACTCAAGGTGTCCAGGGGTGGGTTCTGAATAAGATGCCCCTTGGATTTTTCCCTAGTTAACAAACGACATGAGGGGCCTCAAACAAAAGGGACAGAAATTACAGGACCAGTAAATTTGTGGAAAAAGTCAACATCACTATGTAATAATTGAATGTGAATGAAAAGTACAGAGACGTTAATATCCCACCAATTTGAAAATGATGAAAAAGAATTATGCCTTGTGTGATTCTGAAGAAGTAGCACGTCTTCTACCTACTGCTGAAATAAATATAAACTCACTCACTGGTGTTTTTGGAAATATACATCAAAGCCTAGGGAAAATGTAGATCATTTGCATAGCTAGGAATTTATGCCAGAAAAGAAAATAACAGAGCACCCAAGGGTATAATCATAAGGGGTTTGTCCCTGTGTTTTTCTAGTAGGCAATTCTCAGAAAGTAAAACAAAGGCCAAACAATAAGGGGGCTGCTTAAAGAAAATTTGCCATCTCTACACAACAGAATACTACTCGGTCATTTAAGAATTCTGCTGTAGAAAGTACTTAATCAAACCGGATGCGGTGGCTCACACCTGTAATCCCAGCACTTTGGGAGGTCCAGGAGGGTGGATCACTTGAGGCCAGGAGTTCAAGACCATCCTGGCCAACATGGTGAAAGCCTGTCTCTACTAAAAATACAAAAATTAGCCAGGTGTGCTGGCGTGAGCCTATGGTCCCAGCTATTAGGGAGGCTGAGCCATAAGAATAGCTTGAACCTGGGAGGCAGAGACTGAAGTGAGCCAAGATTGTACCACTGCACTCCAGCCTGGGTGACAGAACAAGATCTTGTCTCAAAATAAATAAATAAATTAAGTACTTAATAAAACATAAAGTTACTTGAAATATATTAAGTAAAACATAGGTTAATAAATAAACCTGTTTGTGCCCAAATATCAGCTGTCTATGACGGCCCTGAGTTACTTTTCAGAGGGTAGCCTTTTGATTCCATTAAAACATTTCTCATCTGCACATGGCTCTGTCAACCACATTCTTATTCTGAAGCACCACTTGGGGAGGATGCATTATTGTGAGGAATGTAATTGTAGATGCTTTTGAAGTTAGATCCCCAAAACACAAAATAATAGGCAGAAACAGTAACATAGATCTGGCAAATATTCTTGGTTGTATGACTACAAGATAAAAGGTATTTAATGCCACTGTAGAAAGCATTTTAAAGACCTCCTTTAAAGGCAGAATGAGACTGGCTGCATTGCAGAGGTCACGAGACCCTGAGTGTAATCAACAGGGGAGGAGAAAAAAAAAAAAAAAGAACAGATCCTAATGTTATGCAAATGGGTCCTCTGGACCTCAGATAAAATTTCCAGCAACAGCATCTGATGCATTCTAAAGGTGTTATATTTTGAACAATTAAGAGGCAGTGAAGAGATGTATTCTTGAAGACAGTGTTGAGAGACTCAAAAACTAGCTGTCAAGGTAAGGACTGCACAAATGTCAGAAATGTGTGTGGAAATTTTGAGTAAAACTGCTTCATGAAGCCTAAGAGTGAAAAAATTTAATATTTATAAATTAAGTTCATTTTATATAATGTGACTTAAATTATGTGTGTGATTAAATTAAATATTAAATAATACACGTAGACACTGACTATTTCTACTATGTTCTTAAATGTTTAGATATTCAAATTGTCAGTTATGCGTTTAGATATATCCATCGGGAAGTGGGCAATTACCTTATATTCAAGGTGGCCTTGTTACTGACACACAAAGTGTATGGTATTATATTTACGATTTGTATGCATACAACTTGTAAATATACACATGCTCACAGGAAAAAAACACAGAAGGTAGAAAATGGATATTGGATTAAATGAAGTCAGGTGGTTATCTCCCTGAAAATGAAAGCATGAGAGCACTTTATTTGCCAGGGCATTCTTTGTGGATTTCTGTGCACTTTAGAGTTTAATGAAGGGTTGGAGTTCCTTATGTAACTTTTGTAAACTTTTCTACAATATACATTATTTTACAAGATAGAAGAGTCCTTAAATATAATGAATTTATGCAACTGCGGAGTAAAGAAAGCTTAATGTTATCCTCAGATTAAAGAAATAGAAGCCTGTCTCAGTGAAGACACAATTGGCAGTGTTAGACTTTGGTGCCTTCAGCCCAAACGTCGGAGGAAACCAGCTGTACCATGTTTCTTTGGCTAAGGAAGATATCACAACTGACTGTATTAGTCATGGTTCTCCAGAGAAACCAAACCATAAGATGCATGTGTGTGTGTGTGTCTGTGTGTGTGTGTGTGTGTGTGTGTGTTTGTGTGTGTATTAGTCTGTTTTCATACTGCTATAAATAACCACCTGAGACTGGGTAATTTATAAAGGAAAGAGGTTTAATTGACTCACAGTTCAGCATGTCTGGGGAGGCCTCAGGAAACTTACAATCATGGTGGAAGGCGAAAGGGAAGCAAGCTGCCTTCTTCACAAGGCAGCAGTTGGCCCTCTTTCTATCAAGGGCTTCAGCTGACTGGATGAGACCCATCCAGATTTTAGAGGGCAATTAGCTTTACTCAAAGTCCGCCAACTTAACTGTTCATCTCATATATATATATATATATATATATATATATATATATATATATGTGTGTGTGTGTGTGTGTGTGTGTGTGTGTGTGTGTATGTATATATATGTATATATGTATATACATATACGTATGTGTATATATGTGTGTGTATGTGTATATATATGTGTATATGTGTATATATATATATTTATATACAAAATTCCTCTGCGTCATTTCAAATAGGTAACAGAAGATATCTAAAACCATGTATCAATCAAAAGGTTGGGGTTACTTTATAACATGAAAATTATTAAATAGAATTATTGCAAGTTGAAAAGTAATGTAAAAAGTTGCAGCTTCAAAAATGTTCCTATTTCTGTGAACTTTGCTCCAACTAAATGTTGCTGTTACTTTGCATTGATATTTGACCTACGTTTTCCTGTAGACACTGAGGAAACAGAGCAGGCAAAGGACGTATTAAAGACTATATCTAAATTCAGCTCAGGCTCACATCTCCTCCTGGGCTAAGCAAAAGGAGGTGAGTGACTTTCCAGAATTTAAGTACCTTCTATTACGCCTTGGACATGTGAGATCAAAGGACTTATCCCTGTCTCCACCCTGTATTTGGCGGCACTGGTACTCCTTCCCCTCCTTGCCATTGCTCAGCTTTGGGTGTTAGTGCTACGTGCCTGACATGTGCTCATGGACCTGAAGACAGGTTTGATCTGGGCAGCTGAGGACCTCTGCATCTTACAGAATGACCCAAACGTCCTTGTCTCCTTAATCAATTTGTCCTTGTAGATATACATACATGTATACATACATATATATACATTATATATATTATATGTATATATAAGCCAATATTCTTCTCAAATGAATCTCTCACTGCTTTTTGCTTTTGCTTTCTACCAGTTCTCTGTGTGGTACAAGCTAAGATTTGACTCTGTTCCTCTGGCGTCAACCACTGCTGGGGAAGGCAAAACAGAGTGAGAACCTGATTGATTTGGCCCTAGTCACTCAATTAAGAAGTTTTAATATTGAACTCCTTGCACAGATGAGGAAAACAAAAGGGTAGAACAAAGAATCCTGATTAAATTTGTTCTGTGGCAGAATCTAGAGTCCTGCCAGTCTGCGAAATCCTTCTCCCAACATTCATTTGCTAAATAGAATCTAGCAAGCCTGGTGAAGGGCTTCTTGCTGCCCAAGAAAAGAAACAAAGTGGCTCATTCACTTATCATTAGAATGATAGGGAGTCTTTCCTATTGGTAAACAGTGAATGTGAGTTGGCAGATGGGGGGATTAGCAGAATAGAGTTTGTTTGGATTGATTTACAGTGGCAAAGACATAAACAGATGTAAGCAGTTTAGCAGAGAACTGCAAATCCTGGGGCAGCCATAATAAAGCATCAGTATACTTAGTTGTAATTATGGTTGCTTAAAATAAATTTAGATATGGAAGTATGACTTGGATTGCTAGAATAATTTCCAGAATTCTAAAAAAAAAAAAAAAGCCCACTCCAGGAATATGAAAGTTCCCCATAAAGCCCTTACTTAGAAGAATAAATCCATTTATGATGTATTTGATAATAACAAAGAATATCGCTATTGCCAAAGAAAATATTAGACCCAAGATATATTAGCCAGAAGAAAATATGATCATTTTTACTGAGCTCAGTGTAATAAATTTTGAGCTCTACAAGGTGGGTGTCATATCCTATTCTGTGAAGTGCTTGACACAGGATAGGTATTCAAGAACCCTTCCGTAACTGTGTGTGTCACCAAAGGCTGAGGTTTACCAGCACGTTAACGTATTTTGACGTGTGTTGGTGAAGATAATGGCTGTAACAGATCAACCTTGGAAGCTCAGTGACTCTAAGGATTGGAAGTTTATTTCTCCCACCCGTAAAATTAAATTAGCATCACCAGGATTGGGGAAGTGGGGAAGGGTCTATTCCAGGCAGTAATTCAGGGGTCTAAGCTGTTGGAGGTGTGCAATTTGCCACCATGGCTACAAAAATCCCTCTGGGAATAAATGCCTATTATAGAGACAGGGGAAGAGAAGGGCTTTAGGAGTGTGAGATTTTTGTTTATTTTTTGTTTTATTTTGTTGTTAATGTGCCCCACTGGGAATGGCATGGGTCACTTCCTCCCTCATTCTACAGTCAAGAACTGCACCGCATGGAGACACCCCGCAGAAAGGAAGGCTGGGAATGCAGTTGGACTGTGTCTGCCCAGGACAAGCCACAGTTTGCTGAGCAACCAGCCAGTCTCTGTCAAGGACGGAGTGCTCCAGCGTAGGAGTCTGAACATCGAGAACTCATCATGCAGGCTTCCCACGCAACGCAGTCCTTCATTCCTGAGATCTGTCCCAGTTGCGTTATCCCACAAATAACTTGTAATCGAATGGAAATAAAGACATGAATACATGTGGTCCAAGGAGGCCACAGGTGAAAGGGAAGTAATATAAAGTTCATATAAAGGTGTTTACCTGCATTCAAATGCAAGGGAAAATCTTAATTATGAAAATTATCCCAAGGCTGCATTTTGTACAAGAGGAACATGTGCTGTCTGTTGGGTTGGGTCTTCCTTCCTAACATAAAACAACAAACTCTTGAATGTCTGTGATGGTAGATGCTGCTCCTGAAAGCGGAAGGAGAGGAGTGAGGAGGATGTTACCTGCAGTAACTGGGACAGAAGACAAGAATTCACAGTGAACAGCTGGAAACTGCTGGCAATGTTCACTGCTATTTCACTAGCATGCTCTCCTGCAAACTGCTAGTTATATTTTCAACCAATACAACACTGTCTTTCATCTCAGTATCGAAGTGGTTGAAAAATCTGCATGTACCTGGAACCACTGTTTTCATATCCTTGAAATTCTGAGTAGTTTTCTGCTAGACAGCAACTGTATTTTCCCATCCAGTTCATGAATCCTACATGTTCTCTCTGAATATGTTGAAAGAGAGTGTTTAAAAAATATATTAAATGTTGAGTATTGGGGCAGAATAATCTCTACCTACATTACTATAATCCACTGAACAATATCTTAACTATACAGAAAGGACTGTCAGCTATGAAAATGTGTCATTTCAATATCTTTAAACATTTCAGAAGTTTTTGGTTGAACGTCACAAGAAACTTAACTCATGCAAGCTTGAGGGAAAGAAGAGTATATTTTAGGGCAACAAAGTTGTATTAAAGTGCTGAAGGGAGGCGAGGAAGCTGGAGCCCTCAGGTTTCCCAGGAAGTTCAACCTGCCCGCCTTTCACCCCTGCACACGGGTGTTGTTTATCTCTTTCACTGACTGGCTCTTTTCTGATTTCCTTTACACACGGTGGAAAACAATTGGTGTCGGAAACACCTCATGCATTCTGTGACCTAACCAGGGTAAACACTGTCTCCCTAGCTACCCACTCCATGACTAATCACCTGCAGCCAAGGGTGGGTCATACTATGGGAACAGCAGACCAAAGGCATCCACTGCCAGACCGTGAGTTATCAACTGCAGCCAAGGCTGGGTCATACTACGGGAACAGCGGACCGAAGGCATCCACTGCCAGACCGTGAGTTATCAACTGCAGCCAAGGCTGGGTCATACTACAGGAACAGCGGACTGAAGGCATCCACTGCCAGACCGTGAGTTATCAACTGCAGCCAAGGCTGGGTCATACTACGGGAAGAGCGGACCGAAGGCATCCACTGCCAGACCGTGAGTTATCAACTGCAGCCAAGGCTGGGTCATACTACGGGAACAGCGGACTGAAGGCATCCACTGCCAGACCATAAGTTATCAACTGTAGCCAAGGGTGGGTCATACTATGGGAACAGCGGACTGAAGGCATCCACTGCCAGACCGTGAGTTATCAACTGCAGCCAAGGCTGGGTCATACTACGGGAACAGCGGACTGAAGGCATCCACTGCCAGACCATGAATTATCAACTGAAGCCAACGGTGGGTCATACTATGGGAACAGCGGATTGAAGGCATCCACTGCCAGACCGTGAGTGCAGCCAGGGGTGGGTCATACTATGGGAACAGCAGACCAAAGCCATCCACTGCCAGACCGTGAGTGGCAGAAAAGCTGTTCCTCAGTTCACTTCAATTCTAAAACTCGAACAAACTAAGTAAAATAAAAGGAAAAGGAAAAGGATGGAGGGTTTTACTCTGGTAATAGTTAAATGGGATAAATTGTCCTTTCCTCAACATACCATAGGACTCTCATTTCTAGGACCTGGGCTAGCTTTAGGTTTTATCTCCTAGGAAATCAGAGTTTATTTTATGTTCCTGGGAGGGGAGGGCAGAGGGAGTTGGTCAGGGTACTAGAGTCCTAGCTGGGATCCAATCTCCAATGCATGGATAATTACCACTCTAATACACCTGTTTGTCACTGTCAGTTATTTGGAGTGATTCTGCACAAGCCTGGTTGCTCGTGGTTAGAGATCTACCCATGCTCCAGGTTCTGACTTTGTTAATTATGGCAGAGGATTCATTTGTGGTAATCAATTTCCATCTGCTGTTTATGATTCATTCCGAGAAAAATTATAACAAGTCACATTTACAGAGGGCTAATTGTTTACTGAACCCCTTCCCATATTTTCCATCCTATTGTTTACACAATATATTCCATAATATTTTCCCTCGCTAATTTAATCAAATCTATGTATATGCCACTATGTATAAAACAATATGGTAATGTACCACTCAATATGTCAGCATGAAGAGTACAGTTTCTGCCACCAAAAAGTTTAGAGCTTTTTTATAGGGTAGACTGTGAAATTAAAATTGTGTATTTCTAGATTTAAAGATAAAAGAGAGCAAAGTAATTCTTATTTAAAAAAAAAAAGGCCTATCAAGAAGGAGATAGCCTGTTGAAATGGAGAGGTTTTGTGGAACATGCTACAAGGAAATATATGTTGAGCTTGACCATATAAATATATTTTCAGTGTTAACTGCTCATGGACTAAGTCGTCTTAGTAAAATAATTGGTTAGGCCGGGTGCAGTGCCTCACGCCTGTAATCCCAGCACCTTGGGAGGCCGAGATGGGCGGATCACGAGGTCAGGAGATCGAGACCACCCTGGCTAACATGATGAAACCCCATCTCTACTAAAAATACAAAAAACTAGCCAGGCGTGGTGGCGGGCGCCTGTAGTCCCAGTTACTTGGGAGGCTGAGGCAGGAGAATGGCATGAACCTGGGCGGTAGAGTTTGCAGTGAGCCGAGCTGAGGTTGCACCACTGTACTCTAGCCTGGGCGACAGAGCAAGATTCCGTCTCAAAAAAAAAAAAAAAAAAAGACTTGGTTAATGAAAGAGAATTGAAAAAGATTAAACTAATAGACAGGTGAGGCATAATTGTAGAATGCTCTGAGAATCAGTATGATGATCTTTGTTCTTCAGGCTATGAAAAGTCCTTGAAATTTTGTGAGCATCGAAGTGCTGTGTTAGTGTTTGCTGCTCATAAAACATCTTCAAAATATCAATGACTTACAACAACATGTGTGTGTTATCTTACTTGGGTCTTCAACTCAGACATTACTACTCGGAGCAGGAGGCTTGCTCCAGAAGGTCATGTAGATTTATGAACGTGCATAGGGTTCCTCAGTCTCCTCGGACCTTAACAAAGTGCTCAAAGGGAAACAAGAGAGATGAGCAAAATATATAATAACTCTTCAGACCTTGCCTGCAAACTGGCATGCATAACTTCTGTCCACTTCCATTGTGCAAAGCAAGTTATGTGGCAAAGCCCAACATAAATGGGGTGGAAAATTATGCTCTACTTGGGTGAAAGATAACACAACGTCATCACACAGAAAAGGACCTAGATGCAGGGAGAGTGTGAAGAACTGGGAACAATGACCCAATCTGTCACAAGTGTCATAAACAGAGTGTTGCCTTGGAAATGTTTCTTTGGCAACATGTCTGATCCACAAGATAAGCTAGAGTAACACTGGGGGTTTGGAAGCGAGTGGCCGTATTGTACATCAGAGTTATATTTCTGGAAAAATTTTATCCATTTGTTGCAAAGTTAGAATCTTCAGGTTTTCTAAAAATCCATTAGTCATTGTCAGTCATACGCTTGTCAAGAACCATGAAGTGTCTGAGGTTATACCCTGTTAAAAGTTTTCAGGCCAGGTTCACCCACCTTGTTTCAACTGGCAAGATTTCCTTCTTTTTCAAGTCTGCATAATATTCCACAGTATATATTATATATATATATATATAGTATATAAATTATATATACTGAATATATAATCTGCATGTACCTGGAACCATTTTAATATATACAGTATATATAATATGTGTATATAATATGTACAATATATAATACATATACAGTGGAATATTATGCAGCCTTGAAAAAGATGTATATATATATATATATATATATATATATATATATGTAGGTATGTTCTACATATATATATATATATATATATATATATATATATATATATATATAGATTGAGAAAGAGAGAGAGCCCGTTTTTCTCCTCAACAACAAGGATCATTGGGAAATGCATTGTTAGGTAATTTCATGGTTGTGCAAACATCATAGAGCATGCTTAGGTAAACCTGGTTGGTGTAGCCCACTACACATCTGGGCTACATGGTATAGCCTATTGCTCAGATCACTGTCATACATGTGGCGCATCACTGACCAAAACATTGTTAAGCAGCACGTGACTGTACATACTATGTTTTTAAATCCATTCATTCATCAGCAAACACTTAGTTGTTTCCACATCTTTGCTATTGTGAATAATATTGCAATAAACATGAGAGTGCAGACATTTCTTTGAGGTGGTGATTTTATTTCTTTTTAATGTATACTCAGCAGTGGGATTGCTGGATAATATGGTAGATCTATTTTTAATTCTGGGGGGAATCTCCATACTGTTTTCCATGATGACTGCGCTAATTTACACTCCCACCATGGAAGAGCCTGGAGGACATCACACCAAGTGAAATAAGCCAGGGAAAGACAAATACTGCATGATCCCACTTACATATGGAATCTATAAAAGCTAAACTCAGGAACTGAATAGAAGAGCAGTTGACAGAGCCTGGATGTTAGAGGCAATGGAGAGCATTGATCAAAATATACAAACTTTCAGTTATAAGATGAATGAGTTATGGGGAATCCAATGTACGGCATGGTAGTTAAAGTTAATACCATTGTACTGCATACTTGAAGTTTACTAAGAGTGTAGCACTTAAATGTGCTTACAACAACAACAACAAAGTTTACTATGTGAGGTGATGAATATGTTAATTAGCTAACGTGGTAGTCATTTTACAATGTGTACATGTATCAAAACATCATATTGTACATCTTGAATATATACAAGTTTTATTTATCAATTAGACCTCAATAAAGCTGGGAAACAAAGTTACCAGGTTATAGTTACATGGATGATGGCAGAAGACACAGAATCCTAGAACAGAGGCAAAGAACTTTATGAGCTATGGCACAGCATAAAGGTCAGTTTCAGTGTAATGTGTATATAAGTACACTGTATATATTAAAGCTATGATAAAATATGCATATATATTTAAAATTGTGACAGCTTCCCGGTAGGTCTTTGTCATAAAATACCCCTCTTAAACTTTAGAAATTATTGTTTTAGAAATCTTTTGTCATAAAATACCCCTCTTAATCTTTAGAAATGCTTCTTGCATTGCGTTTGCTATTAATAGAATATCCGCACTTTGTTTTGTTTAGAGGTTGCATGGTCTTTTTTTTATACTTTTATTTTCAACTTGCTGGGTTCTTATAATTAAGGCATATCACTTTAATAATACATAACTGACTTTTGCATTTTTTCAATCTAGCAATCTTTGTCTTTTAATTGTACAGTTTAATCCATTTACATTAAGTGAAACTATTTTTATATTTGGTTTTTACTTGCAGTATTATTTTATTTGATCTGTTTGTCTCAACTGTTTTAATTTTTCATCCTTTCTGCTTTCGTATTAATAGTTAATTTGTTTTCTTTTTTTCCACATTCATTTTATGAGCTTGTTAGTAACATATATGCATACAATATTATGGGCATGTGTTTAAATTCTAAAATTAAATTGCTGATGTCACTTTGTGTATTCAATATCCATTTACAGTTTCTTCTGTATTTACTATGCTGTTCTTCATTCCCTCCTACATAGCTGGGGCTCTGCCTGAGAGCCTGAGGTTTTTCCAAAGCTCTTCCTCCTTCCTGGTTCCTGAACTCAAGCATGAAGGCCCCTCAGCTTCTTGAGAACACCAACTCTGCTCTGTTAGTCAACAACATTAATTCTTAGTCACCAGCTCAGTGGAGCTTAAATATTAAGCATTTGCCTTAAAGGCAAGACTGCTGAGCATGTGGCTCACAGCTACTGGTTGGCCCTCCAAGTCCTGCCTACCTCGGCAGTTCCAAGTTCTAGCTTTATGTCTGCAGCCCCAGATGTTCCCTAAAGCTCAGGTGATGTATTTATTTTTTATTACTATACTTTAAGTTTTAGGGTACATGTGCACAATGTGCAGGTTAGTTACATATGTATACATGTGACATGCTGGTGTGCTGCACCCACTAACTGTCATCTAGCATTAGGTATATCTCCCAATGCTATCCCTCCCCCCTCCCCCCATCCCACAACTGTCATCAGAGTGTGATGTTCCCCTTCCTGTGTCCATGTGTTCTCATTGTTCAATTCCCACCTATGAGTGAGAACATGCGGTGTTTGGTTTTTTGTTCTTGCGATAGTTTACTGAGAATGATGATTTCCCATTTCATCCATGTCCCTACAAAGGACATGAACTTATCATTTTTTATGGCTGCATAGTATTCCATGGTGTATATGTGCCACATTTTCTTAATCCAATCTATTATTGTTGGACATTTGGGTTGGTTCCAAGTCTTTGCTATTGTGAATAGTGCCACAGTAAACATACATGTGCATGTGTCTTTATAGCAGCATGATTTATAGTCCTTTGGGTATATACCCAGTAATGGGATGGCTGGGTCAAATGGTATTTCTAGTTCTAGATCCCTGAGGAATTGCCACACTGACTTCCACAATGGTCGAACTAGTTTACAGTCCCACCAAGAGTGTAAAAGTGTTCCTATTTCTCCACATCCTCTCCAGCACCTGTTGTTTCCTGACTTTTTAATGATTGCCATTGTAACTGGTGTGAGATGGTATCTCATTGTGGTTTTGATTTGCATTTCTCTGATGGCCAGTGATGGTGTGCATTTTTTCATGTGATTTTTGGCTGCATAAATGTCTTCTTTTGAGAAGTATCTGTTCATGTCCTTCGCCCACTTTTTGATGGGGTTGTTTGTTTTTTTCTTGTAAATTTGTTTGAGTTCATTGTAGATTCTGGATATTAGCCCTTTGTCAGATGAGTAGGTTGCGAAAATTTTCTCCCATTTTGTGGGTTGCCTGTTCACTCTGATGGTATTTTCTTCTGCTGTGCAGAAGCTCTTTAGTTTAATTAGATCCCATGTGTCAATTTTGGCTTTTGTTGCCATTGCTTTTTGTGTTTTAGACATGAAGTCCTTGCCCGTGCCTATGTCCTGAATGGTAATGCCTAGGTTTTCTTCTAGGGTTTTTATGGTTTTAGGTCTAACGTTTAAGTCTTTAATCCATCTTGAATTGATTTTTGTATAAGGTATAAGGAAGGAATCCAGTTTCAGCTTTCTACATATGGCTAGCCAGTTTTCCCAGCACCATTTGTTAAATAGGGAATCCGGAGGAAGATCTACCAAGCAAATGGAAAACAGAAAAAGGCAGGGGTTGCAGTCCTAGTCTGTGATAAAACAGACTTTAAACCAACAAGGATCAAAAGAGACAAAGAAGGCCATTACATAAAGGTAAAGGGATCAATTCAACAAGAAGAGCTAACTATGCTAAATATATTTGCACCCAATACAGGAGCACCCAGATTCATAAAGCAAGTCCTGAGTGACCTACAAAGAGACTTAGACTCCCACACATTAATAATGGGAGACTTTAACACCCCACTGTAAACATTAGACAGATCAATGAGACAGAAAGTCAACAAGGATACCCAGGAATTGAACTCAGCTCTGCACCAAGTGTACCTAATAGACATCTACAGAACTCTCCACCCCAAATCAGCAGAATATACATTTTTTTCAGCACCACACCACACCTATTCCAAAATTGACCACATAGTTGGAAGTAAAGCTCTCCTCAGCAAATGTAAAAGAACAGAAATTATAACAAACTCTCTCTCAGACCACAGTGCACTCAAACTAGAACTCAGGATTAAGAAACTCACTCAAAACCGCTCAACTACATGGAAACTGAACAACCTGATGTATGTACTTTTTAGAAACGTATTGACTCAGAGCTGTGAATTTACAAGAGGCCGTATGTGAAAAGCAGGTTTATAATACAGACTCACCTTATGTAGTTCTCTTTTCTTTACAATTTTGGCCCTCAAGATCTGGTTGCTCTAAAAGCTCTCATTGCCTTTAACCAGGTGTTCCATTCTTGTAAACTATGTGGCTATTCTAGTTCTAATCAGACATGTTGTTTGCCACAAGCCAGAACTCTTTGTGCGTGTGTGTGTGTGTGTGTGTGTGCGCACGCAAGCTCATGTGTGCATTTTGATTACTGTAGAAGGAGAAATTTGACAAGAGACATATCAAACCCCAATAGACTGATATTACGGTGACGGAAAAGATCGTAAGAGCATTGGATTTTCTTTTCCAAGTTATCATAAAGACAAAAATCTTAAAGGTTTTCTGAAACTTCTTTCTTTGTGGCTATAATAAAAATCAATCAAAGTATTCTACAGATCCTTTGTAAACTGCCAGTAGACTGTGTCTACTTGTTTAATATTGCACATATTAATTACATGTAAAGAAGAAGACAAATATACATGATGTGTATTTACCCAGGCATATTACAGAAGGAAAAGCTTCCATGAGGGAAAGCTTCCTCTGCAGGAGTCTTGACCCCCTGACTATGCTGGACGCCCTCAGCCCCAACCACCATTATCAGCCTTTATATTCACCATCTGTGCTTCCTCTGGATCCAGGTGTGGCCATTTCTTTCACTGGGCTCCAGCCTCTGAGCCCGCTCAGTTTCCCATGGTCTTTACAGGCTTTGCCTCCTGGTCTTAACTGCAGCCATCCCTGGGCCTCATCTTCTCCATATGCTAGGCATGTAGAAAGTATCTGTGCTCACGCACCAAGACACATCGCACGCTTGCAGCATCCTGTAGCTCACCTTTAGCTCTTGTTTATTTGTGGATGGACATTGAGGTTTATTCTATATCTTGGCTATTGTGAAAAATGTTGCAATAAATATGCAGGTGCAAATATCTGATATACTGATTTTCTTTCCTTTGGATAAATATTCATTAGTGGGAATGCTGGATCATATGGTAGTTCTGTTTTTAGTTGTCTGAGGCACTTCCATACGGTTTCTCATAATAGCTATACTAATTTTTATTCCCATCAACAGTGTGTGAGGGTTCCCTTTTTCTACACCATCCGTAACACTTGTTATCATTTGTTATTCAATGATCGCCATTCTAACAGGTGTAAGCTGTTATCTCACATGGTTTTAATTTGATTTTCCCTGATGATTAGTGACCACCTTTTTATATACCCGTGGTCCATTTGTACATCGTTTTTATTTTTTGGAGAAATGTCTATTTAGATTCTTAGCCCATGTTCTAACTGAGTTATTTATTTATTTATTAATACTGAGTTAAGTTTCTTATATATTTTGGATATGAACACCTTATCAAATACATGGTTTGCAAATTTTTTTCCCATTCTGTAGGTTACCTTTTCATTTTGTTGTTGTTGTTTTCATTGCTGTGCAGAATCTGTTTGGTTTTACCTAGTCTTAGTTGTTTCTTTTTCTTTTTTGCCTGTGCTTTTGGTATTACATCCAAAAAATCATTGCCAAGACAAATGGAAAGGATTTTTTTCCCCTCCGATTGTTTTCAGGAGATTTATGGTTTCAGATCTTATATTTAAGTGTTTAACCCGTGGTAAATTGAACTTTGACAAGAGGGCCAGGAATGCACAATGAGGAAAGGAAAGTCTCTTCAACACACGGTGCTGGGAAAACCGGATATTCACATGTAAAACAATGGAACTGGATCATTGACTCATGCATTTTGAGATGGATGCATTTCTAAATACTTGGATGAATGCATAGTCAACTTTTTAAAATGTTATTTTATATCTGTTGGCAACAGTTAATGAAAAAGAACTCCTGAATAAAAACAGTTAGTGAAAGCCAATTACTTTCTTTCCGGTCATCTGTAGAAATCAAAACAAACACGAAAATGTGTCCCTGAGTTTCTAGAGTTTAAACCAAATTGGATGTATGTAAAAGGAATTGCTGAAAGTGTTTCATCACAATTTCAAGCAAACCAAAAAAATTAGTAAAATAAAAATAATAAAGATATGTTGTGGAAGCTATGTGATTACTGTCTCATAGAAAATTGCATAAAGTATTTATTATGTCAGTAGCAAGTTTTAACATCCCACTTCAAGAAATTTTGTCCTTTGCTACTTTACTGTGATATAATCAGTCATATTATCTTCGTAAATTTCCTTTGCAATCACTAAAATAACAAAACACATTTCGTCTGAAAATTATTGTATTTTTACCGGTATCGTTTGCTTGTTTGATTTTGGTATATATTTTCCTTGAGGCACAGAATTTAGTGTTTTACCAAAAGCCTTTTTTTTTTTCTCTCAAAACCACCCTTAGTAGTGTAAGTTGTATATTATCTCATATCTTGTATATATTACATCAAATTACATTGTGACTCTACTTTACTCTTGGAATACATTTTCAGATCTGCAACAAATATGTATACCTACTTCCAAGTAAAACTCAGGTAACTACTTCAAGCAAGTTTTTTCTCCCAATACAGATTTTTAGAGCAAGAAGTCAAGTCTACCTCGAGGGTTCAAACCCAAGGTCTGCACTTCTTTGCTGTGTGTCCTGAAGGAAGTTACTCAGCCTCTGTGCCCATCAGTGAGAGTATAGATAATAATAGCATATAAGTCATAAGATTTTTGTTGGGATAAAATAAATTAAGGCATGTAAGGCACTAAGAATGGTGCTTGGGTGGAATGTGAGTTGGATTAATATTTGCTGTTGTTTTTGCTCTCTTGCCTATAGGTTAATATCCAGAGTCACACGTGGAGAGGAAGCATCACAATGAGACCATACAACCATATAATCTGTTCAAGTCCTAGAAGGTGTTGGCAGAGCTGCAGGACTGACCTAGGTCAATGGCTGTGGGGTAAGGAGAGAGGTTTTGTGATTGTTTTTAAAAATCCCAGTGGGTATAGCAGGCGCATCCCTGTCTTCCTCAATCGTGGAAGCTAGGGATTTTAATCAGCTTTGGGATAGATTGCCCTTTGCTATAGTCACATGTCCTCTGCAGTGCTGTGAACACCTCCTATGTGAGGCAATGCATGACCAGCAAGGTTGGGAATCCAGTGATAAGCCTCAGAGTAAATGCTTCCTATCAAATGTGATAAAGTGATCTTGTAAACTGAACAATTCCTATAGAAAAATGTATGTCACTCAAGACTTATGGGGTTTCTTCAAGGAGATAATCTCGTTTAAGTTTGAACTCAGGCTATTATGTGCCAGTCTGTAATAGTTTTGGGAAAACTGTATTTATTTTTGTTTGAATATTGGATCCCACTGGAGATTAGAAACAGAGATGACAAACACTGTAAGAGATACATAGGTATATAGATAGATCGATCTGATCTCCTCTACTCAGGTCATAGAAAAAACTGTATTTATTTTTGTTGGAGTATTTGATCCCACTGGAGATTAGAAACAGAGGTGACAAACACTGTAAGATAGATAGATATCTGATGTCTTTCCCCCAGGTCATAGAAAAAAAAACCCAAAAGATCTTAAAGTAGTTTAATGCAGGCCACCCTAGACTACTCTTGCAGTAGAATCACATGGAACTAAATCACTCAACCCCAGGAAGTGCTCCATTGTTTAGGACTGAGGTCTGATGTCTTTGGGAGGTCAAAGGGTGTATATTGGTGTCACCATGTGTGGGGTAGCTTGGGGGTGGCCCTGAAGGAAATTGTTTGTATTGTCACTTTCTGAGGGAGGCCAATCCTGAGGCAAGAAAAAAAAGGAATTGAGAGTGGGAGTTATATAGAGATATGGAAAAACCTTTCCCCTTATTCAGAAGCCTTATGGTATTTTATTCTAGAATCTGCCAATTAGAGAACCTCAACCTATGGCTAATAATGGGCATCTGCTTGGCCTTAGCCAGGGTACTAGGCTTGGAGCCAGGCTCGCATGTGGCTGAAAAAAGACTCAGAGGATGCCTTGAGCATTAGCCCTGAGTTCAGCCTTTTACAGTTTCCAGTCTAAGGTTCAAGTCTCTAATATGTTTTGGTTGATTTTTTATGTGATGTGAGGTAAGGGTCCAATTTCATTCTTCTGCATGTGGCTATCCAGTTTCCCCAGCAGCATTTACTGGAGAGACTATTCTTTCCACATTGTGTTTTATTAATGCCCTTGTTTAAAATTAGTTGATAATAGATGCATGGGTTTATTTCTGGGCTATTTTGTTTCATTGGACTGTGTATCTGTTTTATGCCCATATCATGCTGTTTTGATTACTACAGCTTTGCAATGTAATTTGAAACCAGGGAATGTAATTCTTTCAGCTTTGTTCGTCTTGTGCAAGATTGCTTTAGGTATTCGGGATATTCTGTGAGTCCATATGAATTTAAGGATTTTTTTTTCTATTTCTGTAAAAAATGCCATTGGAGTTTTGAAATGGATTGCACTGAATCTGTAGATCACATTCGGTAGTATGAATATTTTGACAATATTTATTCTTCTGGTTTTTTAACATTGTTCTGGTTTTCATTTTTTGTCTATTTTAATTCTTTACATCAGTATTTTATAGATTTCAATGTACAGATCTTTCACATCTGTGGATAAATTTATTCCTAAGTAAATTTTTACTACCATAAATGAATTTTTTCTTAATTTCTACATTAAGAAAAAAGAAAGATCTCAAATAATCCAATTTGACAACTCTTGGAACTAGAAAATGAAGAACAAAGTAAGCCCAAAGTTGGTAGAAGGAAAGAAATAATAAAGATTGGAGCAAAAACAGATTGAGAAGAAAGGCAATAGAAAAGATCAATGAAGCTGAGAGTGTTTTTTGTTAAAAGATAAACAAAACTGACAAATCTTTAGCTAGACTAGCTAAGACAGAGAAAAGACTCAAATAAAATTACAAATTAATGTGGAGTCATTCCAACTGACACCACAGAAATACAAGGGTTCATTCAAGACTGCTATGAGCAATTATACACCAATGATTGGAAAACCTAGAAGAAACTGATAAATTCCTAGAAACATACAATCTTCGAGACCAAATTATCAAGAAATAAAAAAAACCTGAACAACCAATAACGAGAATATTGAATTAGTAATAATTTTTAAACCCTTTCAACAAAGAAAAGTTTACGATGAGATTGTTTCATGGTGAATTCTACCAATTAATGCCGATTATCCTCAAACTCTTCCAAAAACTGACGAAAAGGAAGTACATTCAAACTCATTTTCGAGGCCACATTACCCTGATGTAAAAGCCAGACAAGGACACTGACACTATCAGAAAAGAAAACTACAGACCAATATTCTTGATGAACATAGATGGAAAACTCTTCCACAAAATACTAGCAAATGATTTTCAACAGCATATTAAAAGTATCATTGACCATGATCAAGTATTACGTTGATGAAATTATTTTTGCACCAACCTAACAGAATTTATTCCAGGGATGCAAAAATTATTACTTTATTATTGATATAATTCCACACACTGTTTTTATGTTTGTACAAAGAGGAATCTTGATAGCAAGAAAATAGTATGTGTGTTAGAACTGTAACAACTCTGTTACCAAAATTCTGTGGTTGAGATTCAATGAAAATAAATAAATATATATATGTGTGTGTATATATGCATTTTGAGAGAAAGAGACAGAGAGAGAGATCTTAGAATTTTAAGCTATTACTCTGGGTAATTAATGTTTCAGACTTCTTCCTACACTGCAAATAACATTACTGAAATAAAAACAATAAGAGTAATTTGAATACTTTATATTTTCTTTTTAAAACTTTTCCTTTGTTCTCTCCTTGCATAAGTTCAAAACCTCTTAGTACTTTATCATCACTCATTATTATTTTGTCTGAACTCAGTCTGACAATATATCTATTCATTTATTCAAACAATATCTTCAATTACGTTTTGATTCATGACAAGTAAAATACAATCATATACCAAGCGCCATGTTTTATGATGGAGTCTCCTGACTCAGCAAAGCCTCCCTACTTTATGTAAGGAGGACGAAAATGCATGCGCATAACTGTCTGAGGGATAGGATGGGACCCGGCCCTCTGGGAGCCAAGATGGGCCTTCCTGACAGCAGGAAATTACTCTCAGCTATGGGGAGACTGAGACTGGCCACCAAGGGGAAGATGCTTAACAATTGGAAATATGCAGACCTGGCAGTAAAACTAAATCAGAACAGAGGAATGATCAGAAATAATGAAGAGATGATATGAAGAGTACACTTAGGAATAAGAACAGAAGTTGTTGTTTTTCTCTAATTGAACAATAATTGAATTAGGCATGTGTGAGTGTGAAGCATATTCAGTTCATTGACTTATTAGGGCACATTTTCTGAGGCTGTTTTCTGAAAAGATGGAAATATCAAATATTCTCATGGTTTTTATTTTCGCATTTGTTTCCAACTGGTTCAATGACAGCAAGTAAGACAGTGTTACTCGTAAAAACGGAAACGGTTGGCAATATTCCTGCAGCTGTTTAAAGAAAAATTTAGTGCAGGACAGTTATCAAATAATTCACTATTTCATTTCTTACGTAAGTTCTTTTCAGTGTCTGCTAACAGATTTAACTGCCTGCCACCTGAGCACTGGAGCCACCACAGTACTCAATCAAGACAGGTATGAAAGAGTTTAATCTATGAAAAACTGCCAGTCTCTATTTTTTCCTTTAATTTCTAAGGATATTTCAACAGCTTCAGGTAAAGGTGAGATTTAATGGTTACATATTTGACTTCAAACTCATGCCTAGGAGCTAAATGTAGGTGTTAAAATCACAAGAAGTATATAGAAGAGTCATCTATGAGGGTTTTTTTTCTACTCAGTGCACTAAATGATCAAGTTATTTACTGTTCTGTTACTGGCATTTCTAAAACCATCCCCACCAGACCTCTGACTCACTATTCCTTTGCACTGAAGTTTTCATTTTAGAGTTCTTTTATTAAAAAAGAAAAGATATCTCACCTCAATATTGCTATGATTATGCTCCTATAAGACAGTGGAAATTACCTAGTAATTGCTCAAGAGGATTTTATATGGATCACAAGAGAGTGGTTCTGTTCGGTGCTAATCAAGGCAAGGATGTTTACTGAACTCTTCTATGAGTAAGCCACAACAGCTGGGGAGCTACAGAGGAAACTGAGAGGCACATGACATAGCATTTGACCTCAAAAAGCTCCAAAAATTTAGCAGCAATAAGCCCCAAATGCATCCATCTGGGCTGAGCCCTCCTGCAACTACCAACCAGCCTCCCTCCACTGTGGTCCCATTCTGCCTGGGCACAGGGTCAGGTGTTCATTTATCTCTATTCCTGTCTGTATTCATCCATTTTCATACTGCTATGAAGAAATACCCAGGACTGGTATTTCTGGTAAAGAAAGAGAGGTCTAATGGACTCACAGTTCCACATGGCTGGGGAGGCCTCATGCTTATGGCGGAAGAGGATGGAGGAGCAAAGCCACATCTTATGTGGTGGCAGGCAAGAGAGTTTGTGCAGGGGAACTGCCCTTTATAAAACCATCAGATCTCATGAGACTTATTCAAGGTCAAGAGAACGGCATGGGAAAACCCACTCATGATTCAGTTACCCCCAACTGGGTCCCTCCCACAACAGGTGGGGATTATAGGAGCTACAGTTCAAGATGAGATTTGGGTGGGGACACAGCCAAACCATATCATTCTGTTAGTTCCAAAGTCTGTATCAACTTTAGATTACGAAATCTTTAATGCTCAAGACTGGACTCTGTTCATCATCTTTGAACGTCCAAGTCCTACAACAAACTTAAGAATTAAACCAAACAGCTTAGAAGCACTGCCACAAACATGAAAACATGCAGCCATGAACCTCACCCCTCATCTCTGTTCCTCCTCTGGGTTCTTCCTTCTCAGGTATCAGCACCTCTGTTCACATTAGCATCTCCACATCCTCTTTGGACTTTGCCTTCTCACACTCTCCATTTCAGATCCATTGCGGTCTTGCTCCTCCCTCCCATGCTGTTTTCAAGTTCCTCCCTTGGCTCCCTCCCCACTTCTGGCCATACCACCCCTGGGAGAATTCACACCACCCTACTGGGGCCATGTGTGAGTGTTCCCCTCTCCACCAGCTGCCGGAACATCCTTGTTGTAGGAGTAATTCTTCACAACACAAATTGGGTAACATTACAGCTCTGCTCAAAGCTGGCAATGGTGCATTTCACTTTAAAGAATCACAAGCCCCATCACATGCCTGTATCGTGGGGCATCACCCAGCCCCACACCCAGCCACGTCTCTGAAAACAGATTGCGTCATTCTTTTCCATGCCTGCTGCGCTCCGCGAAACCACCTTGGGCCATTTGCACAGCCCATGTCCACTACCCAGAAGGCTCATCCCCAAGAATGCTCCAGTGAACTCTTACCCATCCTGCATGCCTCCATCCAAACGCCCTTCCTCAGGGGTCTTTTCCTACTCCCCCATCTAAACTGTGCCATTTCTTCTGGTGTATTCTGTGTCTTCACATCCTGTTCTTTCTTTTGTAGAAATGATGACAATTTTTAAGTCTGTATGTATTCCTGTTCCCTCAAAATCAATGTTTTGCTGAGGCTGTTTCTGTTGCCCATCCCTCTAACTTGAGGGCACCAACACACCTGGCACACTGGAGATGCCCAGGACATGCTGCCAAATGGGAGAATCAATAAAACAGCAGCCAAGGAAGTGGAAATGGGAGGAAGAGTTCAAATGAAGATGCCTATCCTTGAATGAACTTTCATTTGAAGGGACATGGACAGCTATATTACTATATTAGTCGATTTTCATGCTGCTGATAAAGACTTACCTGAGACTGGGAAGAAAAAGAGGTTGAATTCGACTTACAGTTCTACATGGCTGGGAGGCCTCAGAATCATGGTGGGAGGCAAAAGACACTTCCTACATGGCGGCGGCAAGAGAAAATGAGGAAAAAGCAAAAGCGGAAACCCCTTATTAAACCATCAGATCTCATGAGACTTATTCACTACCTTGAGAACAGTATGGAGGAAACTGTCCCCATAATTTAAATTACCTCCTATTGGGTCCCTCCCACATCATGTGGGAATTATGGGAGTACAATTCAAGATGAGATTTGGGTGGGGACACAGACCCAAACCATATCAGCAGCTGACAGCTTCTCAAGCAAAAGATAAGCAAAATCTGGTGCTGATTTGCAGTGACTCATCTGGTCTGGTTAATGAGTGCAGAGCCCACTCTATTTCTGACTCTCATCCATGAGTACAAAGAGGGCAGCAGGGATCCAACTAGTAACAGTGAACACAGCCATGGGAGCGTAACCCTCCCCACCAATGCCTTCCTGGTCTGCCATTCACCACCATGCGGTGCCCTCGCAGCCTCCAGCCATCTCCTGAAAGGGTGGAGTTTGTCAGAAAGCACCCGGGTGAGGGGCACGGGTCACGACAAACTCTAGGTGCCTGCTCCCAGCATCCTGAGATCTCCCTTGAGAACTGACAAAGTCAACGTTTGGTTAATTTATATCTGATATGGAAATTCACACAACTGAACGATGGGGTGAGCTCAGTTGGCTTCTGGAAGCTGCGAGAACATCCCATAGAGAGCATCTTGGGGATAAATGGATTCAGGCAGCGTGAACATCGGCCCCGACATCCCCACAGAGACACTTGCAGAAGGGCCTTTGCTGAAAAACGTTACGTCAGTAATTTCAAGGACTGGCTAGCTAATGATTAGCAAACAAATCCTGATCTAAGTGTTTACTAAATGAAGGGGTTGATAATATCCGCCATCGATTGTCTTGAAGAGTCCGTGAAAAAGTGGATCCCAATTCAGCTAATATGAAAAATTAGAAAGGAAACATCTGGAGGATCAACCGGAGGCTTGCTGGAGGAGCAACCCTCCCTCAGGGCCTAGGCAGGCAAGGGAGGGTAGGAGACACGGGACGGAGCAGCGTGGGAGATGAGGGCTTCCCGTAGGAGATGCTGCAGTTGCCCTGAGGCCGATCTCATTCATATCCCGAACTCTGAAAAGCAAACGAGGTCTCTGAATGCTTGGCACGTGCCAAACTGGGCTCCAGCGTTTGCTGTTCATCCGGCGCACAAACAGCGTTCCACGAATGTGCACAGAAGCACGGTTCCTGGGCCCTAAATTTGTCAAGGCTCTGACGGCTGCTACTAGCGTGGTCCCTGAGAGCATCTTAACATGGGAACGCCTCTATCAGGTGTTTTCCCAGGCACAAAGGTAAACACAAAGTCAGGTAATTACTGCACGTTTATATCACACCAGCACATGGCCCGAGGCAGTGGCTCATGCCTGTAATCTCGGTACTTTGGGAAGCTGAGGTGGGCGGATCACTTGAGATCAGGAGTATGTAGGAGACCAGCCTGTCCAACATGGTGAAACCCTGTCTCTACTGAAAATACAAAAAGTAGCCGGCGTGCTGGCACGCACCTGTCGTCCCAGCTACTTGGGAGGCAGGAAAATCACTTGAACCCAGCTGGTGGAGGTTACAGTGAGCTGAGATCACACCACTGCACTCCAGCCTGGGCAACAGAGCAAGACTCATCTCAAAAATAAATAAACAGAAAATAAAACATATATCACACGGGCACCCATCTGACCTAAACAATGCATAGCACAAGGAGTTAAGTCCAAGCCATGCCATAGGAGCCCTCCCGGAAGACAGAGTGGTGAAATTCAGGACGGCCTGATGACAGCTTCGAATCCCCATCAGAAGAAAACCCAGCACCTGGTTCAACGTGTGAGAAACCATAGCGGGGACTTTTGGGAGAGTCCATCACACACACCATGAAGCTCCCATGAAAGCACAAAAGAAGTGTCTAACCTGACCGGAGGAGTTCAAGAGACAGAGCGAAGACCAGCAGCTCCTCCTCCAGCTTCCAACGCAGAGCGCAGTCGGCGAGACTGCAGCTCATTGCCGCTCAGGGACCCCTGGAAGGCGGCCTCTCTCCACCAGCTTCACCTTCACCGCAGCTGCGGAAGCTCATGCTCCCCTCTGCAGCCTGCGGCTTTGATTCCTGGAACGCAGTACCGCAGACGCCACAGGCATTTTTATGGGGAAACCGCTCTTTCTGTCCTTGCCTGCACTCCCAGGCCCTCTCCTACCTCCTGTTGGGAAAGATTCGGTGACTGAAACCTTTTGCTTTTCATGTTTTCTCTGTTGGAAATAAATGCAGATGCTTTTGTACACGGATTTTATAATAAAGTCGTTAAGATCTTGAAAATGTAGTGTTAAGATCAAACTCTTTTTCAATTATTGTTTAATACTTTACTTGCCAGGTCACACTATCACATGGGAATAGAAGTCATTAAGAGGCACATGAAAACCTTGCCATGAAAAGTGTATTAGGAAAGAAAAGACTCTCAAAGTGAGAGGAGTCGATCTGTGCTCCTCATTCTTTCATACATTAAGTTGCTAATAAAAAACGGTTGTATCAGTGTTGGGTGTTATTCATCTCTATGATTAACTATGATTAAATATAAGTATAGGACTTAAGTTTCTATTTTTCTACTATTAATTCCCAAAACTAAAAAGCTACATTTCTAAGGGTAAAATTCAAAAATAATCAAAGTAATGATAACAATTGAGGATTTTCTCAAAGTCACATATATTAGCCATTCATTAAAATTTTATTTTTTGCTAAGAGAATATGACTTTGGGAGACTGAGTTTGTAAATGATCAATTACCACGCCACATATAAAAGCAGAACTCTGACCCACGATTTGCCGCGAGCAGCCCCGGGAGCCAGCGCTTGTCTGCAGGAGCCAGTTCGGAAGCCACCTGCTGCAAGTCAGAGTCCAGAAAGGAAGGCCGGGGTGTCAAGCAACGGCCCAGAAGGCCAAACAGTTCACCCTGAGGCAATCAGTGCCAAAGGGCCAGGATGTAATTAATGACTGACAGATTCTGTAACGTTGTCCCCAATTCCAACCTAGGACCAGGTGGAGAAAGCCAAGTGTTCCCCTAGTCAATTCCATGAGATGTCCCCACTACCACCACAGCCTCCGCCGGGGCTCCCCGAGCCGCTCTCCCCGCTCCCTGCCTCCTGAGTCTCTGCCAAGCCCAAAGTGTGGTGGTGGCTCCATCTGTCTAGCAAGCTCTGAATAAATAGCTCTTGCCTGTTCTCATTTGGTTGGTCTCTGTTCATTCTCACAACTGGAGTGGTCACATTATGCCTCCTTCCTTCATATTAACATCTCCAAAAGGATGTTTTTAACACTCCTAGATGCAGAACTCCATATTGCTTCAAATCCCCTTGTTCCCTTTTCATAGAATACGAATGGTGTGGGACATGCGGAGGTTGGAATGTGCACCTTACAGGAGAAAGGCCCCTGCTGAGTTTCCTCGTTTATTAGCAGGAGAGTCTGGCAGATGCTCCTAGGTATGTGACGAAGTGGACGTTCACCATGAGTCACTAAGCTAAATTTCTAATTGAAGGCTAAGAGTTGGGCTTTTAGAGTCACTGGGAGTGACCTCCGTCGGGCACATCAATCACTTTGGAGACGTCGCATGGGAAGCTGGCTGTGATCCTGAATGTTTCTGCAGAGGGAGGTGGATGGACTTTTCGTGTGTTGAGAGTTTCATAGAAAAAGGAGCCCTGCCTCATGGGCACTGATGCCTGTTCCAGGGAGAATACTTAGTGGGGGAACTGCTAACTGGACAGAGCTAGACTGTCCCGGCTCAGCACTGTTGGTCTAGGAAATTAAAGAGCTAATCAAAGACATCTGTGCATTTTGGATCCCAAGTGGGGTGTGCCTTTGGCCAAGCCTACCAAGAAGAAAGGGACCATCGCATCTCCAGAGCTGTGTTAGCCCATTAAGCACCTGCAAAGCCTGGAGCAAAATTCTCCATTAAACACCGACACCTGGTGGCGAAGCCAGGAACAGCACCAGCAGATTGACAGCCCAGTTCTTGACAGGTTTGTAATAGAAGGACCTTGCTCTGGGGACAATTTGAGGGGGCGATCCTGGATATGCTCATAATTAACTACAAAAGTTAAAAGATATATTCATATTCCATAATCAGTTTGGGGAACAGTCTATCCCATTTGCACGCAAATTCTCTTTTGAGCAGTATTTTGCCAACTAATTACTAGCCTTTGAGAATTTCTGCATAGGCTACTCTAACTACACATACGATTTGACAACAAGTTAGTGAGCTTCAAAAGCAAAACAAAAGACATCCAATTAAATGGATTTATCAATAAAACCAGAAAGAAATATTTTAAATATAGTTCCTCCTCAAATTCGATTACAGCATTTATTTTGAGTCCAGTAATAACAATCACTTAGACAGCAGCTGAATTAACATGGCATTATCTGTAAAAGCAAAGTGAGTCCTAAGCAAATGAATAAGCTCTCACAAGGAAAATGTTCCAAGTACCTAGGATGAATGTTTGAAAGCATTCTTAGGTTTGGTCATTTTCACATAAATCCTGTGCAAGTTTTTTTTTTGTTTGTTTTTAATGCAGTCAGTGAACTAAAAGACGCTTGCATTTCTGTTAATTCTTGATATTATGAGACAAAAATTTAAAATTTATCTGGAAGAATGAAATATTTAAAAGTTAAGAAAATTTTAGAAGAATCTTTTAAACAATAGGATACCAGATAAATTACAAACTATGTACTAGGATAAAACTAGGATTTAAACATTAATAACACAGCCCTAAGTTTTATGGTGTTTGAAGGCTATTGGAAAACATAAATAAGCAATTCGCTAGTGGATATTAAAACATTGAAAAAGGTACAACTTTCTAAAAAGTGTGGCACAGGTAACTTTGGTTAAAAAAAAACAGCAGACTTCAGAAACATATCCTACAATGTTATAGTTTAATATCTATCAAATGTTGGCATCTCTACTCAGTGAGACAAAATAATTCACCTGAGAAGTAGTGTTAGAGCAATTGGCTACACATGGTGGGAGAGAGGCTGGCAACCAGCGGCAGGCTTTATCTCCTGATGATCCCAGCTCTCTATGCATATTGATTACAGAGTTAAATGTTAGAAGTCAACCGTCAGGTTAATACATGTTTTAAAATTAACCTTTAGAAGGTAACGACTTTCCATCTTAAAGGGCAGTAGAAGAAATCCTTGGGAAAAGCATGCCACTGTTGGCATTTTAGAGCAGGTTTTTGATGTGGGGAGGGACTGTCTTGTGCCTTCTCGGATGTTTTGCAGTGTGCCTGGTCCCAACCCACCGGCTCCCTGCAGCATGGCCTCCTCCCCCAGCTATGAAAACCAAACATACATTCTAGACTCATCAGTTTCTCAGGAAGATCTTCGGGAGTTATGCCTAGGAGCACTTTGAATCTGTTTAACAAATTGGGAAGAACTGATATCTTGAAAACATTTTTTCTTCCAAACTGAATATAGTTTATCTTTCTATCCATTTAGATCTTCTCTAATTTATCTTAGAAATGTATTTAGAGTAATTTCTAGGATATCAATTTTTATGCTATATAAATTGGTAGGTTTTTTTAATAAGCCCACTTTTCAAATATTGGCTAGTACATAGAAATATAACTGATTTTTATCAGTAGAACCTATATTCCATGATCTCACTTGATTTGTTGTTTATTTTTAATAGACTTGAGAGGGTTTTCTACATATATATGTCTTCTCTAAATAATTACTGTTTTCTTTTTCACGTTTATGTTTCTATTTACTTTTCTTGCTTATTGCATTGCCTAGGACTTCCTGTACAATTATAAGTAAAAGTCATGAGAATAGGTATTCCTCTCTTGTTTCCAATATTATGGGGATATCATCCAATGTTTATAGTAAAGAAAGGTGCTAGCAACAGGTCTTTGAAGATTCCCTTTTCAAGATGATATTGGTTGCTAAGATGTTACCATCAATGAGTATTAAATGCTGCCAAAAGCTTTTTCTACACTTATTGAGATAATCTTTCTTTTATTCCTTTACTCTGTTAACATGGTGAATTATACTGATTAACTTTGAATGCAAAATAAACTTTGTATTTATTGGTTAACACCCATCTGCTCATGATGTACCATCATTCTTTAGAGAGCTTAATTCAATTTGTTGATTATTTCCAAAGAATTATTGTTTCTGTATTTGTGAATTTTCTTTCCTTAAAATTTTTACCCAGCTTTGGTATTAAGATTACTCTGGTCTCGTAAAACTAGTTGGGGGGTAATATATTTTCTGAATAATTTAGATAAGAAATTATAGATATATTTTTGTAAAATAAATTTTTCAGAATTCTTTCAACCATCCCATCGATTGTTTACATGACTCAGAAACTTTTGAAAATACGTAAATGAAGAATGCTTTACTCAGTATCCATTTTCCTTGAACATTGTATGACTAATTCACTTGGATACATTTTCTAGCTTTTCCTTTATATCAGCCTTGTGAAAAGGCAGGTAATGAATCGCTTATTCCGATTTTACAAAAAAGAAACTAAGGCAAAAAAAATTCTAAGTGACTAGATAGGCATTACCCAAAGACAACACCAAGAAGCAGCAGAAAGACATGGGGACTGGAAAATTGATATGGCATAATTTGGTTAGAGAATAAATACATGTTACTGGAATACAGGTTAAATTTTAGAAACAGCAGAAAACTATGGCCAGTCTACCTCTGGAAAAGTGGTGACAGGAATTCAACAGAAAAGAAGCCATCGATCAGGGCAGAGACCCAAGCAATCTACACACGGATAGAGCACCCATGTTCTCTTTCACCGCAAAATAACTCTCCAGACGCTGGAAGCTCCAAGTTGATCCTAAAGTGCAAAGAGGAGCTGAAGAGCACGAAAGGGACCAGGTTCAACCAAACCCATGGGAGAACACAGTGAACTCTCTTCACCACTATTCAACTGCTTTCAGGTTCATGAGTCAGAAGATGCAGCGACAATGCAAATGTGGAACACTCAGTTCAGCGAATCTCCTTAACAAAACCGTAGTGAGAACGACAGCCATATTACTGAGAACTGAGCTAGTGCAATCTGCATGCCTATCCAGAAGGGACACGCTGACAATATTTCCAAACTCATCAAGCAAGTTTAGACAATTATCATATTTCTAGGTTCTTGATATGGTTTGGCTGTGTCCCCACCCAAATCTCATCTTGAATTGTAGCTCCCATAATTCCCTCGTGTTGTAGGAGGGACCCTGTGGGAGATCACTGAATCATGGAGGCGGCTTCGCCCATACTGTTCTCGTGGTAGTGAATAAGTCTCAGGAGACCTGGTGGTTTTATAAGGGGAAACCCCTCTCACTTGGGGTTCCTTCTCTTCTCTCGACTGCTGCCATGAGAGATGTGCCTTTTACCTTCTGCCATGATTGTGAGGCCTCCCAGCCACGTGGAACTGTGAGTCCATTTAACCAGTTTCTTTTGTAAATTGCCCAGTCTCGGGTATGTCTAGATCTGCATAGACATACCCGATTAGTCTGTGAAAACAGACTAATACAGTTCTTATGTAAAAATAAGCACATACGTCTTTATTCAAAAGCATTAATGTCTTTAATGGTCCTCAGGGACAACCTGCCATTAATTTTACTAAACACTGGATGTCACTGTTGCTATTTTATAACACAAAATAATTTATGGAAAAAAAGAGCTTCTAATCGATATTCTCAGAATAGCTGTAGAAATTAATTTACATTTTATATCTATCACTAAAAAAAAAGATGTAACCTCTTCACAGAGCCTGGTTTCTTCATAGCATTTTTGTTTTTAAGGGCAAAATTACTGCATGCCACGTTCTCTGGGCAACGTCTGTAACTTAAATGTACATAAATCTGTTCTGAACTCACCCATTTGGCCGTAAGAAGCCCATGTGACTATGTAAAGCTCCTGGTGAAGGGGCAAGTTGCTTTCTGTGAAATCAGAAATCCTGCTCTTTTCTTGGCTGGGCACAAATTAACCCTTCCAGTTATCATTGTCAGCCTCTAAAATGACAGTGCTGCTTCCCCTGTGTGCAGCTCTGTAACGAATGACTGAGCTAAGTGCTTGTCACTTTCTATCAGCTGAGAAAACACGTTTGAGTCATATTACTAGAGTGATGGAAGCCAGCAGACCATCATGCAGGAAACTCAAATTGCCGTCTTAGATTTGGGATTGACGATGATATAGTGACTTCTCATCTAGAAACGAACTGTCAGAATGCAACGGTGCTTGTCTATTGTTGCTGCGTTTGTTAATTAGCGTTTACATAGCAGGGTACACTTCTGAAGTCAACGATAGTCACATTGTAATCCGTGAGGTAGACTGCAATGAGATTTTTAACATTCAGCTTTCATAGAAAAGCATTTTTTCTAACCAAATTTGATTTTTAAAAGTCCATTTTAATAGGTATAACCTTGTTAGTATTTATTATATAAACGACCAACTTTTGAAGGATAATGCCACAATGTGCATTTAACCAAAACTGCATTGCATTATATGTAATCACTCTTTGATGACTTAGAAAATATTTCGATGTCTTCTAGGATTTGGGGTTTCTACAGCCAGCATCACTGATGGTGACAGAGACACACTGCTTCACACACAGCTGGCTTTCCTTTTTTTCTGAGGTACCAAGTGTTTGCCACCAACAGTGTATCTAAGACACAATGTCTGGCTAGTCTTTTGCTATTAGAAAGGTAAGACGTTTGCAGAAATGGTGACAACACAAAGCCATACATTGGTGAAGACATTTCACACCAAGTTCCTTTAAATATTTTGAATCAAAACATACCATTTTTAAAGATATAATTGGGTTAATATTCAACAAGGTGGCTTTCATCCCAGCTTTGACGGATAATAGAAAAACCTTCGCAAAGCAGAAAAAGTAAATTGTGAACAAAAATTAAGGACAAGAAATTACAAGTTGTGCCAGTCTTTCGTAAGTGATTTTGTCTCAGGCACCAAGCACAAGTAGAAAAACATGAAGACAAAAAAAGAAAAAAAAAAAGAAACAGGAAACTTGGAGGTCTTCTGTGGAACGGGTTGGGATCTGCACAGTACTTGAACATTCTACTTTTTAAAATTAATATTGTTTGTTTCTGTATTTCTCTTACAATAGGCATATAAAGGAGTAACAAACATTTTCAGCATTCATATGTAAATGCATGCATGGCTAAATACACACTTTTCCATTTCTGGAAGTGAATTACAAATTTTTTAATGCCAAAATTTGAAAACAATCTTCTGTGATATCTAATAATTATAAGATAGTGACTGATACAAGATGACAACTACCTAACATGCTTATTTCTTATCATCAGCAGTTACTAACTATTTAGCATACTATGTATGTCTGCAGAATTTCAAAAAGAAGACTTATCTCACAGTAAAGACACAATAATTTCATTTGGGCTCACAAATAAGAAAACAAATAAAAATCAGGTTAAAACAAATATGTGCATCTGTGAAAAATAAGCCACACAGGTCTCTTCATTAAGGAAAATAGAATTCAACTTAAAAATACTCTGTTACGGCCTGGCGCAGTGGTTCATGCCTATAATCCCAGCATTTTGGGAGGCTGAGGCATGCAGATCACTTGAGGTCAGGAGTTTGAGACCAGCCTGGCCAACATGCTGAAACCCCATCTCTACTAAAAATACAAAAATTAGCCGGGTGTGGTGGCGCACACCTGTAATCCCAGCTACTTGGGAGGCTGAGGCAGGAGAATTGCTTGAACTCAGGAGGCAGAGGTTGCAGTGAACTGAGACTGTGCCACTGTACTCCAGCCTGGGCGACAGATTGAGACTCCATCTCAAAAAAAAAAAAAAAAAAAAAAAGTCTGTTACTTTTCTAAATGCCAGAAAAGGTAACATCTTTTTTTTCTTTTTAAATAATAGGTTTTCAACTTAATACAAAAACTATAGTTCCCACTAAACTTTAATATGATATTTTTTATATAATAGATGAATATCCTTCAAAATATGGCAGGTGCCAATTGTTTAGATAATAAAGTAGTTCTTATTAAAGGAAAGTATTTTACATCTATAAGTATGTAAATGAATCAAGCATATTGTATTGAGAATAGTCTAAGTGCACATTATACTAGGTTGAGCTGTAAAATTATCATTTTTAAATATTAATGTATTGTAATAAATTCTTAAAATTTCTGCATCTAGATGTAAAAGAAAGTCTGTTTTTTTAACCAGCTTCATATTTTGAGTAATTAAGTAGGATATGACCTGAAATTTTATTATTATTTCTTACAAAGTATTCATTTCAGCTTATTTTTATGAATACACATTTATTTTGATGCAAAAGCTAAGTAAATGAAATAAATCTCCATTTAGTTATTTTAATCTTTATAGAAAATTGCTTTTCAGTTTCCAAAATATTTTACTGCTACCCACAAAATTCCAAAGTTAACCTTTTCTGGGTTTATTTTTATTTGCATTTTATACCTAGCTTGCTTTTGAGAATGTTAATGAAAAATAAGTTCAAATGTGAAATTAGGATAAAAACACAAATAATCTATAGGTAAAATATGTACCACAATTTATTCACTTTTGAATGATGCAAGTTAAATTAACTAAAATGTCTGCCACTTAACCCATAATTTGAAAGTTCTTACATATTAATCCTTCTTTCTCTGAATTATTAATCAATATATATTTTAAAATTTGATGAGAACTTTCAAACACACCCTAAATGTTATAAATTGTATATGTGCATCACATATCAACCATCCAGATTGAAATTATGAAGATTTTACCATCTTATTGTTTTACCATCTTCATCTAATTCTCTGTTCGCTTATTTATTGAAACTTTTTTTTTTTTTTGAGGCAGGGTCTCACTCTGTTGCCCAGGCTGGAGTGCAATGGCATAATGACAGCTCACTGCAGCCTCAGCTTCCCCAGGCCCAGGTGATCCTCTCACCTCAGCCTCCTGAGTAGCTGGTACTACAGGCACATGCCACCACACTCAGCTAATTTTTCTGTTTTATAGAGACAGGGTCTCAATATGTTACCCAGGGTGGTTTGAACTCCTGGCCTCAAGCAATCCACCTGCCCCAGCCTCCCAAAGTGCTGGGATCATAGATGGGATTCGCTGCACCCAGCTGAAACTTTTAAAGCAAATCCAAGACATGGTGCCATAATTTCTCTACATGTATTCATGAAAATTATGGACTTTTTAAGATACATAACCAAAATGAAATTATCACGCTTGATAAAAATAACAGTAGTTCCTCAGTATCATCAGGTACCTACAGGTAACTCCAATTTTCCTGTCTCCAAATGATTTTAATGTATTGGTTGTTTTGGACCAGGATCCAAACAAGAACACACATTAGGTTTGGATGCTTTGTAAACTCTGAAGCTGTTTTAATGCATAGTACACTTCCACGTGCAACATTATATTTTAGTGCCCTAACTTGTTGAAAAAATCAAGTTAGTTATTTTGTAGAATATTTTTCATTTTGTTATTTGTTGCCTTCTTGCTGGTGTTTTTAAAACTAGTTCCTTTATCCATATTCTCTAGACTTGACTCAGTTTTTTGACTAAAGACTTGACTCGGTTTTATGGATGTTGCTATGTCCTTTCTGTTATGTCATATCAGGAGGCACTAACTCTTTGGTTCACTCATTTTTAGTGATACTAAGTTTCTTACCCAGGTGCAGCATCTCACACCTGTAATCCCAGCACTTTGGGAGACAAAGGCAGGTAGATCACCTGAGGTCAGGGATTCAAGACCAGCCTGGCCGACATGGTGAAACCCCATCTCTACTAAAAAACTACAAACCTTAGCCTGGCATGGTGACACATGCCTGTAATTTCAGCTACTCAGGAGGCTGAGGCAGGAGAATTGCTTAAAGCAAGGAGGCAGAGGTTGCAGTGAGCCAAGATGGTGCTCCAGCCTGAGCAACAGAGTGAAACTCCATCTCAAAAAAAAAAAAAGAAGTTTGTTCATCTGGTTCTGGTATTGACAGTCTGGTTTTCTTGACATCTTTTCCTGTGACCTTACTCAGCCTGGCTTGAATCCATTGTTGAAGCTCGAGACCGTGTCTCCAGGTGGAGAGAGAGGAGACAGAGAGAAGGAAGTTGCTATGGGGGTTTGAGCCAGCTGTGACAGTGATGGATATGCACACAGAACACAACTCTCCTCCCAAAACCCCACAGAGAAGAGGCAAACAATAGGTCCACCTAAGTATCATGGCACAAATCTCTTCCAAATGGACATTAGCCTCCTGGAAACAACAGTGACTCTATTAGCTCCTCTCTGAGCTATTGATCTTATAACTAGGAAGTGGTAAGGAAATTGCTTTCCCCTAAACAGAGAAGAGAGCGGCCTGTCATTCTGGATGTGTTTGGATTCCACTTATCTAGAACATGGCACCCAGTTCAAATGGTATAGAACTTACTTGAACAGAACAGGGAAAGGCGAGGAGGCGGGAAAACAGCTGAGATGACAGAGTAAGTGCAGAAAATTCTTAGAATCTTTGTGCATGTAATTAGTCTACAGCCTACTATCTGCTTTTGTCTAACTTCGGATTTCGAAATAAAGAAAATCAAACAAAAAAGAACATACTACTCATACCAAATTTCAAATTAGACACATATATTTTACCATGTATGCTAGAAACAGTATTAATATCATCAGGAAAAGTCTAAAATGAGTTTAGTATTATATTTTAAAAACACAGTATGTGCTTTTGTTTCAAAAAATCTAATTTAACTTTTAATTATTTTGGCTTCTATAGCAAACATAAAGGATTTCCGTTTCTCTTCTGCCACCCCCTTATTCTGTGAACATAAATACGGCAAATTACTTGCAACCGAGTGATCCATTTTCTCATCTATGAAACAGAGATAATAATTATCTTACATCATGATGCTTTGCGGGGCATTAAATTACACAGTCCATGCAAACTTTTCAGAAAACACTCAATATTTAAATTATGGTTGCTAGGAGGATAATTGTCAATAAAATGGTGTTGGAAAACCTTTAGGAATTTTGAAAACATTACTGAATAGAAAGAAATATAAAGCATTATATTACCTAATTTATATGTTTGGCTTTATACTTTTAAAAATATGTCCTTACAAAGAAAATAAGTTACAGTTCGCAATTAATTAGTTGTCTGAATTTAGACAACTTTTTCAGAGCGAGTATGAAGAATAATGTAACTACAAATGCTTTTTCTCCTTGTTATATGTGCTGATCTTAAATGCCTGTTATTCCAATTCTAGTAGATGAATAATTGGTTTAAAAAAAAACACTACGTAACATATATGGCCTTCATTTTAAGTGATTTTTTTTTTTTTTTTTTTTACTCGTTGCATTCTTTTGAAAAGCTTGCTATCAGAAAACTCTGGCACATTAGCTCTCTCTCTCTCTCTTTTTTTTTTTTTTTTTTTTTTTTGAGACGGATTCTCACTCTATCGCCCAGGCTGGAGTGCAGTGGCGCGATCTGGGCTCACTGCAACCTCTGCCTCCTGGGTTCAAGCCATTCTCCTGCCTCAGCCTCCTGAGTAGTTACAATTACAGGCGCGCGCCACCATGCCCGGCTAATTTTTGTGTTTTTAGTAGAGACAGGGTTTCACCATGTTGGCCAGGCTGGTCTGGAACTCCTGACCTCAGCTGATCCATCCGCCTCAGCTTCCCAAAGTGTTGGGATTACAGGCGTGAGCCACCACACCCGGCCCACATTAGCTCTCCTAAAGCATATTAGCTCATAGTAAAGGATGGAACCTGACACTTACTCAGCTCTGAATGTCTGTCAAACATTGTGACCATGTGCTCACGTAAGAGAAAGGACAAACTATGTAATATTAATGTTTGCTATGTTCTGCATAACAATTCTGGAGCATTCAAAAATATAATGGACTTTATTCTACGCTGCCCTTTTCCTCTATCAGGATAGTAAACAGATACTGTTTTGTAACGCTGACAGGAGGATAGAGCTGAGCAGTCCCTTAGACAATAAGGACAGAGGCCTGGGCATTTTTAGGGCTGAAGTTGTAGATGGAGGACTGGATTCCACAGCTAACTGGGAGGCAGGGCAGACAGGGAGGGCTATGACAGGGAGCCGTAGGTTTTTATAATAGGAGAGAGCCTAGCCTGTGCTGGATGGTGACTGCTGGGATTCTTGCTGCCTCTGGATGGTAAGAACTGTCTCCTTCAGAGCACAGAGGCAGGCCCTGAAGCGTGAGTCTCTAATCAACAGGAGAGAGCCATCTCGCAGGACTCTGTTGATTCCATGGCAGGAATGTGCAGAGGTGTTATCAGCCCTGCTTGGCACACACACGTCACAGCTAAAATGATGGCCCCAACCATTGCCTGCTGACCACTTCTCCTCAGCACCAGCCTGGCCAGGAAATCCTATACAGTTTGATGGTAGTTGGCAAAGCAGCTGTTGGAATTATCTTCTGTCCCAGTGAGTGGGAGCTGGGAGATAGATGTTTCCTAAATAAGAAATAAAGAAACCTGAAATGTCTTCCTCCTGAGTGCTGACAGCCAAATCCATTTCTACTGTTGTCTTATTTAGACTTTCAGTATATCCTTAAAATAGACACTATTACTCCCAGTTTAGAGATGACAAAACTGAGGCTCAATGAGTGTAATTTTCCTAAAATCACACAGTTGTAAGAAATAGAACACGAACTACACAGTTGACCTTTGAATAACACAGGTTAGAGCTGCGTGTGTACACTTACCTGTGGGTACACTTACCTGTGGGTTTTCTTCTGCCTCCGCCACCCCCGAGACAGCAAGACCAGCCCCTCGCCTTCCTCCCCCTCCTCAGCTGACAGGAAAAGAAGACAATGAGCATGAGGACCTTTATGATGATCCACTTGCACTTCACAAATAGGAAATCTGTTTTCTCTTTCTTAGGATTTTCTTAATTGCATTTTCTTTTCTGTGGCTTATGCTACTGAAAGAATACAGTATATAATACATGTAACATACAGAATATGTGTTATTCAACCATTTATGTTGTTGGCAGGGTTTCTGGCCAACAGTGGGTTATATTAATAGTTAAGTTGTGAGGGGGTCCAAAGTTATACATGGATTTTTTGACGGCATGGGGAGTTGGGCGCCTCGAACCCTCAAATTGTTCCTTGGTCAGCTGCACTTTATTTCATTTTTTAATTTTTTTGAGATGGAGTCTCGCCCTGTCGCCCAGGCTGGAGTGCAGTGGCGCGATCTAGTCTCACTGCAAACTCCGCCTCCCGAGTTCACGCCATTCTCCTGCCTCAGCCTCCCGAGTAGCTGGGACTACAGGTGCCCGCCACCACGCCCGGCTATTTTTTTGCATTTTTGGTAGAGACTGGTTTTCACCGTGTTAGCCAGGATGGTATCGATCTCCTGACCTCGTGATCCGCCCACCTCGGCCTCCCAAAGTGCTGGGATTACAGGTGTGAGCCACTGTGCCTGGCCAGCACTTTATTTTTAAAAGTTCACCTTAATATTTCTGTTTAGCAAGAAAGAGAAATTTGAAAATCCGTATTTTAATTTCCCCTAAAAAATTCATATTTAAATTGTTGCCTCTTGAGACAAGATCCTCCTCACGGAGTCCTTAGGGAGGAAGGCGTGGGTCAGTGGGACCGAAGCCTGCACAGAAGGGCCTGAAGGCCAGGTGTGCATCCGCTCTGAGTGGGAGGGAGAAAGGCAATGAGAAAAACCATGATGGTCGAGAAGGCATGGCCATTGCAAGTCAGAACATGAGGCGACTGCCTGTCCTGCCAGCGTCTTTGCAGGGCTCTGGGCATGAAGGGCCCGGGCATAGGACTGTCTCTGTCATTGTGCCTGCGTCACTGTCGCTATTGCAGCTTGGAGAACCACACTTTCGGGAAGAAATCAAAGACTTCTTTCTGAGCGTGCAGGCTGATGAATGCAAATTTCTCTTTTGCTATTATATAGAAATATAGACGTGCTTGCCTGATTTATCAAAAAAAGTCTAAATGATTCCACAATACAGAAATTTTAAAACTGAAGACCCATGCACAGACTTTAAGACATGGGGGAGGCCGGGCGCGGTGGCTCACGCCTGTAATCCCAGCATTTTGGGAGGTTGAGGCGGGCGGATCACGAGGTCAGGAGATCGAGACCAGCGTGGTGAACACGGCAAAAACCCGTCTCTACTAAAAATACAAAAAAAAATTAGCCGGGCGTGGTGGCGGGCGCCTGTAGTCCCAGCTACTCGGGAGGCTGAGGCAGGAGAATGGCGTCAACCTGGGAGGCGGAGATTGAAGTGAGCCGAGATCGCGCCACTGCACTCCAGCCTGGGAGACAGCGAGACTCCGTCTCAAAAAAAAAAAAAAACAAAAGAAAAGAAAAAAGACATGGGGGAACCCCCACATGGCATAGAAACATCTGTGGTTGTATCCACACGCACAGTGCACTGGGGGTGAGGAAACAGCCGTCCTTTGCACTCAGAGGACTTTGCGACCCAAAAACAGGATTGAGAAACATTGCTTTAAGCTTGTAATGACTTGGTTATTTTATACTTATTTCTATAAATTGTGAAAAATAAAAGTAGCTTCTAGTAATTGTTTATTCAGAAGTTTATTTAACGTTTCCTTGGAATTTCTGTTTTTAAATTTAAGAAATAAGTAGGCCGGGTGCAGTAGCTCACGCCTGTAATCCCAGCACTTTGGTAGGCTAAGCTGGGTGGATCATTTGAGCTTAGGAGTTTGAGACTAGCCTGGCCAATGTAGTGGAACCCCATCTCTACTAAAAATACAAAAATTAGCTGGGCATAGGGGTAGGTGCCTATAACCCCAGCTACTCAGGAGGCTGAGGAAGGAGAATTGCTTGAGTCCAGGAGGCAAAGGTTGCAGTGAGCCGAGATCACACCATTGCACTCCAGCCCAGGCAGTAGAGCGAGTCTCTGCCTCAAAAATAAATAAATAAATGAATAAAATATAAAATAATAAGATAAGTAGGTAGAAGTAGAAAGCAATCCAATGTTTGTTGCATAGCTGGTACATGCTAACGCATGGCATGTATTATTTAGTTGTTAAAAACATTGGATTAGAGAGGTGCTGCCATCCCTGTGTGTGTCCCACAGTCTCACAGCTAATAACACAAAATTTCAACCCCAATCTACAGAAATTCAAAGCTCGTCTGCGCTTTCTAATCCACCAACAACTGTACATGCTCAAGGATCAACCAACAAAACCACCTACTGGCATTTTGAAATGCATATTGCCAGTGCCGTGGGGCATCGTGAGGAGATAACGAGGGAATCGTTCAACAGGAATCTCCACGGAAAACCAGATGATGCAGACTGGAAGATGGGATTTCCCTGATTCTTAATTGCATTTCAGCTTTTAAGGCAGGGGCGTCTAATATCCTGGCTTCCCTGGGCCACACTGGAAGAAGAAGAATTCACTGGGCCACACATAAACTACACTAACACTAATGATAGCTGATGAGAAAAAAAAAATCTCATAACGTTTTAAGAAAGTTTATGAATTTGTGTTAAGCCACATTCAAAGCCACCCTGGGCAGCATGTGGCCTGTTGGATGAGCGTGTTTTAAATATTTTAGAAAAGACAAGTTTCAGGGCCTTGTTCTAACCTACAAGTAAGACAGGGAGCTTGAAGCCTGGTGTCATTTTCCATGAACCACTTGAGTCTTTTCCTCCGTGAAGGATTTAGTCCATTCTTGTGATTACAATGCTGTGTTTTTTCATTACCTGAGCCATTTATTTACATATGTAAATAAAAAATCTCAGTTTAACGGACATCAATTGCAGGAGACTAGATATTTATTCAGAAAGCTGATAGGGAAAGATTCTAAGTGCAAAAAGACAAGGAAAAAGAAAATACATGGTAAAAGTTACCCCTCATACTGACATTAACTTTCCAAAAATTATTCCTGTCTTGCTTCACTGTTTCACTTTTACCCAACCCAGTGTTCCACGGAGCATCATCTCATGACATAGCCAATTTAAGGAAACAACTAAAACAAACAAACAAAACACCTTTTAGCCCAGGAATGGTGGCGCAAGCCTGTAATCCCAGAACTTTGGGAGGCTGAGGCAGGCAGATCACCTGCGATCAGGAGTTTAGAGACCAGCCTGGCCATCCTGGTGAAAACCCGTCTCTACTAAAAATACAAAAATGAGTCAGATATGGTGGCTCATGCCTGTAGTCCCAGCTACTCAGGAGGCTGAGGCAGGGAGATTCGTTTGAACCCCAGAGATGGAGGTTGTAGTAAGCCGAGATCATGCCACCACACTTCAGCTTGGGCGACAGAGTAAGACTCCATTTCAAAAAAAGCAAGTTTTAAAGTGCTTAAAATATAAATGTTGAAGTGATACAAGTTCATTCCAAACAAATTCAAAACAAGTGACTGGAATGGGCTGGAACCTCAGCAGATTGATGGCTGTGTTAGGACTTGGCAGGTGACCGGCTCCAGACCCATTCTGGGGAGGGTGGGTGGATGGGCACAGAAGCACCTGGGCAGGAAGCAGTGAAGCAGCTCTGTCGGGGGCTTGAGGAAGCCTCTGCTTGGTCCTGGTCATGCCCCATCCTGTGTCCTTGCCTTCTCAGAGACTCTCAGTAACGACACCTGAGAATCAAGGAAGAAGAGAAAACTCTTCCCCCACTCCATCCCTTCCAACCTGCTGAGTTCAAAGGCAGAATTTCTCAGCTGGAACTATCCAGGTCCACAAACTTTGTCAAATCTGATTCCCAAGCAACAGAGAGAAAACTATTCTGTTGCCATTTTTAAAAGTTTGGCAACATTATTCTATGTTTTAAATAAGCTATTGTTTGCACGACATTATAGAAACGAATAATTACAAGCTACTGGATTAGAGAAGAAGAGACTGTCCGCCTACTACTTGACTGGTCTTGCACAATTCACTACACTTTTATTATCAAGTTTTCTTTCCCATCTGTGAAATGGGGCTGATGCTGATGTCCACCGTGAGGGACACGGATTCCTGCTGGGTGCTTTGTAAATGTCAATTGTCCACATTATTGTCAGCACTGAGCTTAGACGTGGGAAATGGTTGAAAAGAAAGGGAGAAACCACAAAGAAATCACAAAGTGATTCATACTCTATTTTATGATCAAAAACCATGAGAGAAAATGAAAGGAGGACAGATAGTTCTGATAGTCTTATCTTCTTAGAGAAAAACATCTGGAAAATGAAATTTCCTCTTCTTTCAGCTTCACTGGCTGAGATGCCAGTGTTCAAAATCATCAACAGGAGAAAACCTTATGTGAGCGAACAGAGAAGAAACCTGTGACCTCCCAGCCAACTTCAAAGGCGTAGTTTGGTGATTGACAATTCTGAAGGGATAGAAGTGAAATAATCTGATTTAGAAAAATGTGGAGCATGATTCTGAGAACATGTATTTTATTGCAGTATTTTGATACTTTGGTTCTAAGGTGAATATTCTTTGCGGCGTTTTGACTCTGGAGCCTGATGGCATTTGTTTCAGTGTGTTTTAGGACCCAATGACACAAGGCTCTGTCATGACTACACTGGATAATTCTATTTCTTACAAAAAAAAAAAGGGGGGGGAAATAGGAGTAATGGAAAGAGAGAAAATAATATAAAAGACGCCAGAAAGGTAAAACTGATCACATCAGTCTTTGTATTTCCTGTACGAAATTGTCTTACAATTCCAAAAGATCTCTTCTGAATGCAGAATAAGGAGGGCGGAATAGAATTTCAGAAGGTGCTAGATTTTTAAAATAATCCCCTGTTATCTGGACCTCTGGCTCCTATAAACCACATTCTGTTCAATGCGGAGATCCTTTCCTGTTGTCTCCTTCAGATCTGAAAGCTTAGCAATTTGTGATTCTTTCTGTGCTGGAAGAAAAATTCCTCATAATGGATAGTACATCCTTTTTGTGAGCAAAAGCTATTTCTGCATGTTATAAAAGTATCCTAAGATCGAGGAAAGCCCATCTCTAATGAAAACTGATGATAATCAAGTAGGGATGGCATGGCGGTAATTATGTTCCAAATTGAATGCTTCACTGGGAGGGACACCTTCCCTGTCTCAGGTCCAACACTAGGACACTGCAGTGTGATTTTGAGCATCTGTCGCCAAACTACACAGCCTCTTGGTAGTACTCACCCAATAACCCTTAGAGAGTCCCTTGTTGCCTTCAAGTTTTGAATAGTGAGTTGCAATTAGAAGAATGGATTGGAATCTGTGTATATCACTCTCCACAAAGCTGAGAATGAAGCAATCGCCTGACTATGATCTGAGCTAGTTTTAGAAAGGGAATAAAATGAAAATAGGAGTTAAAATACTTCTGTCAAATGGTACTCACTGCACAATCCAAAATCAACTTGCTTTTTGTAGGTAATCTCTCAGATCTTACAATTTCGATTCACCAAGTGAAATTACATGAGAATTAGGTCTTCATATGTTTCCATCCAAGAACTAACCACTTTAAGTGTTTCTCCCAGTGGAACATCACTTCAGCCTGTGTACCATAAAAAAAAAAAAAAAAAAAAAACTGCTGTTACCGTGTCGACAAAAAATGGGAATTTATTTTTTCTGAAAGTGATTTACTTTGTATTCACTAATTTGAATGAAAACTGCAGAATAGAGGTTTATAAGGCCCTGCAAATAGCTATTGATTTTTTGGAAGGAAAAAGAGGTAGAAAATTCTAAGGCAGAGAAGATTCATAGGCAGTAGAAATCAGGGCAGATCAGTTTGATTTTCCTGTTTGACACAGGGTCCAAAATGTAGGACAAAAAAGACACAATTACAACAAATTTATAGACCTAATTGGCTTTTCTCTGTGCTTCATGAATGAGGCAGTCTCTCTTCTGCAAAACAGAATGACAGCTCCCCTGGGCAATGGTAGACAGTGAGATTTGTAAGGTGGGAACAAGAAAGACACAAAAGAAAAAAAAAATGGTGGGTTAACATCGGTTACCTCCAGTCACTTTTCTTAAAAGATAAAAGCATAGGGGTCTTTCTTATGACACTGATTCAAGTACACTGGAATCTCTTGTCTTTAAGAAAAACTGGTCTGATTTGTGAACTATCTGCTTCCTTAAAGTTTCTGTTCTGTTATGAGTTCTTTAATTTTGGTTTGTTCTGGTTTGTTGGAGTCTAGTGCAGGAGCTCAGTCCAAATCAATGGCCTCCCATAACTTTTGTTTAACCGTTTTGAGTCAAAAACAGAGGGCCTGACTTTAGACAAAAGCCGAAAAAGGAAATGTACCCTCCAGTGGGAGCTCCTGCAGAGTTGTGGCTGGATGGCTCAGACGTGCCGTCCAGAGCTGTAGTATTGGTGATTCTGAGTGGGGAGTCAGAGGTGACTGTCCGTACTCCAGGTATCTCCAAATGTTTCACACACAGCCAGGGCGGCCACAGGTTCTGAGACGTGCATCAGGTCTTCAGGAAGAGACAGCATTGTGCAAGATGAACATAAAAACTGTGCTAAATAAGAAAGAACACAGATGAGATGAAAAAGGAGACAGACCGTGAGTCTGTGGGGAGGAGGGTGGCTTCGGAGATGGGCTGGACTCAGGGTAAGAGGGACCATATGTCAGGAGGGATCAGCTGAGCAGCTGGAATTAGGAATCCCACTGAGACGATGGCTGATGTACTGCAAGGCAAGGCAAAAGTTGACCACCAAGGCCAAGAGTCTGGAGACTGTGGGGAGATGGAAAATGGCCTGGAGTGGCACTGCCTGTGGGAAAGTGGTGTGACCTTAATAGCTGCCCAAGGACAGATCTCAACAACAGAGGCCTGATAGAATTTCAAGGCTGAAGATGGAGAGGGTTTGGGGAGCTCTGACTGAGTGCATTCACTATTTGAAAAGAAAACACACCTGGTGAATGTAAGTGCATTCCTGTTTCAACAGAGGCAGCAGCACTTCCTGATACAGAAGAACGCAGCGATAGATGCTGAGTTGGAAGTGTCAGATGCTAGTATAATCCTATTCAAATGTCAGCACATAAATCCATCTGGGTATTATCTATGAAATATAGTTAATTCCTCTATCCTTCTTAAAGGTAATTCCAGTAGCACTGAATTGTCAGTTTGATGCTTTTCGTCACTTCTCTTTGAATCACACAAAGCAATATTTTCAAGTAAATAGTGTTCATCAATTGCTAGGCGTGTCACCTCCAAATATGCTGCCTGAGATCCCTGCTTCAAATGTCTGGAACTTGTATTAGATCACAGGTGAGCATGACAGTCTCTTTCCTAGAGAAGAGTACATTGTAACTCTCCTGACTTCTAATTTTTGGGGTCCCCAGAGAGGCCAGTCTTACCTCACCTGGATATGGAAGAAAATAAGAGAAAACCAAAAGGAAAAGGCCTGAGAAGAAGTACATTTCTACAGAGAAATTAAAAGGAAACATCATTCTATGACCCAAATGAAACAACTTTCAGTTCCTCCATCTCTTATGTGAAATGTCTGTCCCCAGTATGGGGACACCACCAAAGCAAATCAATTCTGGGGATGCCTGACCACGAGGCGAAGTGATCAGCCGCATCCAGACTTAGCCATTCTCGACGGTATTTGAGGGAAATTCACAGAAAGGCTTCTTCACAGGTCCACAGGCCCTGAAGCCTTTTCCTAAACTTTAGATTCAACCAGCCAATTTAGATCCACAGCAAGACCAAGGCAGTTGCCTAGACTTGGAGATGCCGTCAACAGAAGCTGGCCCAGGAAGTCAGAGCCAGTGTTGACCCTGAAGGGGAAGAGGATATAATCATGCTTTGCTAAACACAGACAATCACTGAAATAGGAATCTAATTTATAACTGAATTATTATCTGAAGTCCATAGGAATTGGAAACATTTCCCTCATTTTGTAGATTACATGACCGAGACTCATGGAGTTCTGGATTAACAGGTAAACGTTTCCAAAGTCTCACCATTTCTTGCATAACATGCACCTGTCTCATCTGTAATGGGAATCACACCCAGAAGTCAGCAATCCCAGCACAGACCCTCAAGTGCCATGCCAAGACCTGCAGGCCTGTTTTGTTTGCTCAGAACTCCTGGAAGTAGCGCCTCATTAAGTTGGGAGTTCCAGAAGTTCTCTTTAGGGAAGTGGGTATTTAATTTCACCCTAAAGGATGAGAACAAATTTCACAGGACAAGTTCAGGAGATAATGGGAAAGGACAAAGTGAAAATATTTTGAACTGAATGGACCTTTTATGAGCCAATTCTCAAGTAAGAGAAACAAAGTCATATTAAAAGAATTCACAAAGTATAATGTCTGTGATGTGAATTGTGTGTCAAAAATGAAGTTTTCTGATCTCATCAGGACTGGGAAGCTTTAATCGATCTTGAGCAAGTAGGCCAGGATGGGACTATCTTTGCTTTTTAGTCCACTTTTAGGCAAGTCACTTCAACCTCTTTGGGGCTGATTTTCCTCCTTAGGAAGGTGGTAGTAAAGATGAAAATAGTAAGTAGTAAATAGCTAAACCAATATATTAATTAACCAGTATATTAATATACTGATATCAAATGTGATAATGTAGGAAGACTTTTGTAAGACGTTATCCAAATATTAATTGTTTTTCTTGATAGTCTTACTGGTTGCAGGACACTCTAGAAAAAAAATTTAGAAACAAATAAGAGAACTGAAAACCTTCATCTTTTTTACCTTGAGACCACAGGGAAGAAAAGACACCAGATGTTTCCGATCAAGAGACAAGAGAAACATTCAGCGTGACCCTAGAAAATCTTTCTAAAGAGATTTCACAACACTCAGCTCATGTTTCGGGTCCATGAAACCATCTTTAGATGAATGATGCCTTGTTACCTGTGAGAGGAAGTGAGCAGCGAGGAGTCCTGTCAGTTCCGGAAGGAGTATTTGGGTTACTGTTCTTCATTGTCTGCAGTTCTGTGAGTATTGATCTCATTATTCCATAAGGCGGATTTCAGCAGCAAGGAACATATCGTTTTTTTTTACATTACAATGAAATTCCATTTTTTACTTAAATATATTTTATGTCAATGCTTTTCTCTAGTGGGCTCCCTATATATTATTTTAGTATTAGTAACTTCAATATTTCTTCTTTTCTTTTCCTTGAGACAAGGTCTTGCTCAGTCGCCCAGGCTGAAGTGCAGTGGTGTGATCATAGCTCACTGCAGCCTCAACTTCCTGGAGTCAAGCAAGCCTCCCACATCAGCCTCCTGAGTAGGTGAGTAGGTGGGACTACAGGTGTGTGTCATTACATCTGGCTAATTTTTAATTTTTTGAAATAGAGACAGGGTTTTACTATGTTTACCAGGCTGGTCTCAAACTCCTGGCTCAAGTGTTCCTTCCACCTCAGCTTCCCTGTGTTAGTCTGGTTCCACACTGTTATAAAGAACTACCTGAAACTGGGGAATTTATGAAGAAAAGAGGTTAAAGTGACTCCCAGTTCTGCAGGCTGTACAGAAAGCATGGCTGCGAGGCCTCAGGAAGCTTACAACTATGGCGGAAGGCAAAGGGGCACAAGCACACCTTACCATAGCAAAGCAAAAGAGAGAGCAAGAGAGAAAAGGGGAGGTGCCAACACATGAAACCATAAGATCCATCTCATGAGGATTCACTCACTATCACGAGAACAGCACAGGGAAATCCACCCCCATAACCTACCACCTCCCACCAGGCCCCTGCCCTGACACTTGGGGATTACAATTCCACATGAGATCTGGGAGGGGACACAGAACCAAACCATATCCACTCCCAAAGTGCTGGGATTACAGGCGTGAGCCACTGCACCCAGCTGAGTTTTAGTAAATTCGATCCCATCTTTAAACAAACTTCATTTTCATGAAACATTATATCGTAAGTCAATCGATTATTTTACATTTATTTCTTTAACGATCCTATTTTGACTAAAAATCATCATCATATATAAAACATTATCTTAAAAGAAAATAAATCACTTTGTTTTCTTTGTGTTAAATATAGAGGAGTAGCTAACATTGCAAAGGTTATGACTGAAGAATCATATAAAAAGTGTTTGGTTGTCAAATGATCAAAAGTAAATGATAGCTGAAAGTGATTTGTTGGATTTTCACCTACTTTAATGTAGACATCTTCTCCAATTGATTTGAATGTAGGCTGTTTGTGGCTTAACGCTGGAAGGTAGTCAGCTAAGTGGGCATTTCAAGAAGGTAACGGGATATACAGGTAATGGGAAGGTGAGGAGAAGGGTACGGGCTAGGAATAAACACCTGGGCATCATCAGAAAATCATATGATAAGCCACATAATTGGAGACATTACCAAGAGAGTGGGAGTGGATACAGAAGGTAGGAAACACCACACACCCCCATGCAGTTATACGCAGTTACACATCGCTATAAAGTTCTTCATTTTCATTGCAACACAGTGTTCTACGGTATACAAGTATCTCAACTGATGTATCCATTTCATTGTTGACAGCCATTTTGACTGTTTTCAGCACGGTTCGCACACAATGCTGCTCTGAACGCCCTTGCACGTGGCATGGTGCACACCTACGAGCATTGGGGTGTGTTTACACTAGTGCCCGTCAGGGCCAGCCTCTTAAGGGCAGGTGTGCTGGAGGGAAGTGGAGGTCATAGAATGCGGGTAACTTAAACACTTAAAGATGCAGGACAGAATTCTATTTCTTCAATTATGAAACCAGGAAGTATAAAATGGTTATTTAAATTTGAGAAAATTGGCAGTAAAATAAACTCCCGGCTCTGTGTAGTGTGCAGGGGTCCCTCTCAGGGTGAGCACTGCATGCGTCACTGGAAAAACAGAAATACATTGGACTGCAGGGGATGGCCCAAACCTTAGATTTCTTAATACATGGCAGGTCCACTGTATTAGCCGCATAATTTCCAAAGGTTTCTAAATTATAAAACTCATTTTAGATAAAGGTGTGTGAAACTGCATGTCAAAGTGAGCATGAGTGTGTACACGTGTGTGTAAATATCACACTTTAATAATAATGTATGGGGGTTTTATTGCTCCATGTTCAACTCAGTCTTAAAATTCCAGGCTTTTAAAATTATTGACAAGTTATGAGATGGTTCCTGCTATAAGAGTGTGGACTTCAATTGTTCTTTCCCCCTTTTTTTTAATTAAGATTGGAGACCTGTTGTGTGTTACCTTTGGAAGGTTTTCCACAGTTGAGATCCAGTTGCTCCAGCATCATTTGTTGAGTGGTCTCTCTTCATCCACAGAGCTCCAGAGTGTCTCCTCTTACAGGACTTCTACACGTGTACGTCTCTTTTGGGGCTCTTTGTTTTGTTCTACCGGTTGATGTCATTCCTGGCACTACCAGCTTTCTGCCTAAATTGCCATAGCTTTAGTAGAAACTTGAATTCTTGCGTAGCAAGCTCTCTTTCCTGTTCATCTTCAAGAATATCTAAGATATCTTTCAATCGTTCCATCTCCACATTAATTTCAGAATCAGCTTGTTAGTTTCAGTACATTTTTGCTTTTGATTAAAATTGCATCTTACCCCAAAAATGAATTGGAGAATAATTGACATTTTTTTTTTAAAGTTGAGACACGGTCTTGCTCTGTTGCCAGTGCTGGAGTGCAGTGGCATGACCATAGCTCACTGCCGTCTCAGACTCCTGGGTTCTAGTTTTCGTCCTACTTTGGCCTCCCAAAGTGCTGAGATTACACGCATGAGCCACCATGCCCAGCCTAAATGACATATTTTAATATTAAATCTTCCAAACCATGAGCCTGTTATGTCTACAGTTTTAAATATCTCCTTTAATAATCCAATAAAATTGTATAAGTTCCAACATATGGTTCTGGTACCATACAACATATGGTAATCTGTTGTAATTATTTCCAGTTATTTCACACCTTTGATGTTATTATGAATTATATTTTGTTGAATTTTTTGTTGCTGGTATACAGAAAAGTTTTTAAAATTTTTTGATATATATGTTTTATATGTATATCTCTCTTAGATTTTTATGTATTTAATTATGTCATTTGAGAATGACTATTTTACTCTTCTTTTCTAAGCTACATATTTTAGAGGTTGTTTTTGTTCCTCTTTCCTTTTTCAGTGGGCACAAATTTCAGCATGGCGTTAAGAAGAACTGTGAGTGGGCATTCTTGCCTTATTTCTACTTTCAGAGGAAGATATTTTGTTGTTCCCTGTTGATATTTGCATTCAGATGTTTTGTGAGTCCTTCTTAGTATATGAAGGGTATTATATTCCATTCATTATTTCATTCAGTTCAAAAAATTTTCTACATTTGACCATATATTTGTGATAAAAAGAATGTTTAGCAGTGTATTTCAAAAACATATTTCAAAACATATGGGAATTTTCCAAATTTTTCTGGCTATTCATTTTCTAACTTAATTGCTGATAATTAAGAAAGTAAATTATTATCTTGTCTGAGTTAAGCATTGTATGAATGCCAGTAAAAAGAGAAGTAGAGAAAATCATGCAAGATAAATTGGGTATATAGGTTCCTAAAATGTGATACCTGAGCTAGAGTGGAAGAAGCTGCAGCTTTAGAACCAGTTTAGATTCTTGGTTTGTTTTCATCTTTCCTTGACTCTGGGCCACTTCTGTATCACCAACGTTTACAATGATTGAATGTCACTCTAGGTTCATTTACTTCTTATTCTAAAGCCAAATATTTAGGTCCATTAGAGGCCAACATTATTATTAAGAGCTCTTTAGCACCCAATGACATTTTTCTTTCAAAAAGTCAATATTTTATAGAATCTAAATTAAGTGGGAAAAGAGATTTAAGATTCGCTATGAATACATTCTAATTATTTTTACAACATTTTATAACAAGATTAAACTTTTGGTGAGTTCTGCTAAACTATGATAACTACAAATCTGGAAACCTTTTTCTCCCCCCCAAAATAATTTTATCTTTTAGGTTCTTTCTTCTTTTTTGTTCCTCTGTTTTTGCTGATACATTGAGAGTAGATTTTAGCAATTTTAAAGTAAGAGGGCTATTCTCGTCAGTACAAGTTCTCCCAGGAAAAATTTTTTAAAAATCAGACATACTTACCAATCTGCGAATAAACTTAATAGTGATATAAAGGTAAAGTCATGGGAGGATTAAAATCTGGATTAAAATCAAGATACGGAATTCTATGAAAATAAATATGATTTCTGATATCTTTTTAAAGGTGCTGAACAGCTGAGTACACTCTATTTTCAAAGAATAATGTTTTCCCTGGGTCCCCGGTCAGCTATGATTTCCCAGGATGATATAATGTTTCTTGCACTGGAAAAATACATATTATTTTTAGGTTAAAAGTTATAAAAAGTGTTTTATTCCCTGTGGCTATCCCTCCTCCTCAAGCTACTAGGAAAATGGTGAAAACAGAAAAATCAAAACAAGAATACCAACGGATACGTTTTCTAAAACTTAACATGCATGTCTTTGAGAATTCAATTTTGTTAGCCACATTTCAGATATATAACCTTTTTCCTTTAATAATCTATGATTTAAATGCTCAAATGTTTTTAAGCATGTGGTGCTGGCTCCAAATAACCCTCCATCTTGAGAGATGCGACCCTCCCCAGGTTTCTCCCTTCATCACTACCAGCATCCGTTCTCTCTCTGGACAAGCTCTCCCTGAGCAGAAGGCTTAATTGTGAAATGGAATGCCCTGGATAATGAGAGAAAAAAGGGGAAAAGAAGTCCTTTAGATATCAGAGAGAGAGAATGATGATATAAGGGATGTGGCATATTGATTTAAATATTAGCATATTGATTTAAATTACCTTGAAGATATGTACAAGCTGTAATTAAGAATTAAACATTAGTAGGTGTCATTTTGATCATAATTAAGGGGCCTCAGGTAGCACTGGCAGCTTGACTTCCACTTGGAATTTCTTCTTCTAAGTATTAGGCACGTGCTTCTCTCCGTCACGGTACCACCCATCCAGCTTGCACTCCTCCTAGGATCGCTGGAGATTCGCCTCATGTTGCAGACCTAACCTGCACTCTGGGTTGTCTTGTTAATTTCTGAAGTACCCCTCCACATACATCTATCTGTGTGACCGCATGCCTGGTCTGATCTTTATACGGTCAGTAGGTGTTGAGTTTTACCACTCTAGGTTGTCTTGTTAATTTCTGAAATACCCCTCCACATAGACGTATCTGTGTGACCACGTCCCTGGTCTGATCTTTATATAGTCAGTAGGTGTTGAGTGTTACTGATTTTTGGTCCCCGAGCTGGGTACATTCAGGAACACACATATGCCCAGGTTTATGGGCCGTTATTCACAAGGCTCTCTTAGGTTTTCTAATGTGAACATTGTGTAGTCTTGGCAAGACTCAATAAAAACTCTCTAAAAGAAAATGGCTAGAAACAAACATGGTATAAATTGCAATATCAGAAGCCCTGTGCTGAAATAAAGCAAGAGTTCATGTAGCCTGTGTTCAGCTTCTGACCACAGCATCCAGAGAGAGCCTGCAGTGGGAATCATGCTTCTACTGAGTTTTCAAATTATGATCATGGAACACACATTCTCCTGGATGCCAAAGTGACTCATGTTTCATGGATCAGCCTAAAGGTCAGTTCCTCTACTAAACTACTTTGAATCCATAGTCCTACAGTTTAAAAATCTGGAAGGCAATTCCGAGGTCACCCAGAGTGATAAGGTCATTGCAATATTTAAATCATGAGTTGAAAGCACTTTGCACAATGTAACATGCTATAAAAAAACAAATATTTGTAGGAATTATTAAGAACCTTCATCAGCATTCCTGTGGAGTCATCGCTAGGAGACTTGTGGTCTCTGAAAAGAGGACTGTTTTTATACACAATCAATGTTTCTGTGTTTTGATAGACAGAATCAATAGCTACCAACTGTTCAGCTGGGCTCAAACCACCAAACAGCTGGCTCTATATTCATATCCTCGTGGTTCAAAATACTTTTAACCCTATGATGTATAAATTCCTACTCTGCACAGTTTTTACACACCGACCAATATATACACATCACAGAGGACACATTTAGTGCTGCACTTCCTGCTGTGACTGTTAAAAAAGACAAGGGGCTCCCTGCTTGGCAGCTGTGATGGCCTAGGAGTCAATTTCTCAGCAGCACCATTCTGGAACATAAAATCTTACATTTAATTATATCTACTGCACAGTTTTCAGAGTGTAGCTTAATAAACAGTCATCTGCAAAGATCTAGAACCAGAAATACCATTTGACCCAGCAATCCCATTACTGCATATATACCCAAAGGAATATACATCATTTTATTACAAAGATACATGCATGCATGTGTTCACTGCATTACTATTCCCAATAGCAAAGACATGGAATCAACACAAGTGCCCATCAATGATAGACTGGATAAAGAAAGTATGGTACATATACACTATGAAATACTATGCAGCCATAAAAAGGAACATAGTCATGTTCTTTGCAGGAACATGGATGGAGCTGGAAGCCATTATCCTCAGCAAACTAATGCAGGCACAGAAAACCAAACACCACATGTTCTCACTTATAAGTGGGAGCCGGACAATGAGAACACATGGACACGGTGAGGGGAACATCACACACTGGGGCCTGGGGAGCATTGGAAAACATAGCTGATGTATGCTGGACTTAATACCTAGGTGATGGCTTGATAGGTGCAGCAAACCACCATGGCACACATTCACTTATGTGACAAACATGCACATCCCGCACATGTACCCCAGAACTTAAAATAAAAATAAAAATTTTAAAGGAATTAAGAAAGGAAAAAAGCAGTCATCCTTTTTGTACAGCTGAAATTCATCCTCAAAAGTACTTGGAATACAGCACTCATATTCTTAGTGCTTCCAAAAATCTCCCAAGATTATCCCATTGTTTTGGAAAATAATACATTGTGTGTATATAATGAATCTATACAAAGGGCATCTAAGGGTGATATGAAAAGACTCATCTTGTGTGATATGCATATGCTGAGAATTGTGGGTCTATGCAGATCGCCCTGGTCAATTTTACCTTAGAGTTTTGGGGAGGTTAATTTTGCCTAGAAATACAAGATGGCTTCCCTTTTTTTTTTTTATTTTTTATTTTCAGATCACTTTATTTAGGGATGCGGCAATGGCAGTAGTTCTCAAAAGGAAGCCGGGTAGAAGCAAATTAATTTCTAAGGTATTCTAGACTCAGATGTATTGCAGATGCTAACCCACTCTCGCCAGTTGGCATCGATGTCCTAGTCAGACGGGGACCAGGGAGTCTTTGTCGGTGTCTGTGGGTTCCTGCTTCTCAGCACCAGCATCAGGGGGAGACGAAGTGCTGATTAGGAGAACACACATTGGCAGGCGCACGTGACAACCCTGGTCGGTGCTCTATCCGTCTGGGTTTGTCCAACAATTTAGTTCCATAAAGAAGAGAACACAAAAGTCCTGCCTGCTAGGGAGGAAATCATCACTGAACTAAGCAAGGGGTAAGATTCTGACTCCGGTCTGATAATTGCTGGAACAGGTTGAGGACAACGAACATGACGTAGGATGTATGAGGTGAGAAAGGGCACAGTGAGCCCCAGGTCCAGGACACTGGTAGGTGTGTGGGACCTGAGATGCACGTTGACCTCATGTTGTTCTGGTCAAGCAACATTTAAAGATGAATGAGAATCTATGCAAGAATATAAAGAGTCCCCAGGATGGAAACACCGAAAGAAGACAGGTTCTGGAAAAAAAGTGGAAAGTAGAGAAGAGGGGTGAGGTATCCATACGCGCCCTGTAGCATGTCTGTGTGATAGAGAGATGCAGAGAACCAAGGAATCAATGGTGATTAAGACCCTGATTGCAACAGGTGCATATGCAACTAGGTAGAAGAATTTTTAAATTATCTAAATAATTTAACTCCTCCCCCAAAAATACTTCACTAAGCATTTTTAAAACGCACATGGACCCTACCTTTCAGAAGTCGCTTATCCTAACCAAAATTTTTCAGGAGGGTTTCCTAGTTAATGGATGTGCTGCTTGCCACTGAAACCTCCTAAACCATGTAACTCATTATGTTTGCAGAATTATGTGAGGCAGATGCCCAGTAAGACCAAGAATGCAGAGAAATCTAATAGAAACGCGGGAAGCAATCATAAAAGTCTTTAAAGGCAGACTTGAGTACTGTCAGCCTTATGCTACTTTCTTTGTGTAAGATTGAGTTATCTTAAACTGTGTCCATGGGAAATAAAGGAGAACAGAAGCCTGCTTTTTAAAGGCTTTGTGTTACGAAACTGCATTTAGAGTTTATTAGAAACAGGAATAACTTAGGTAGCAATGTCAATCAGACGTTAAAAATATATATGTGGGGCCGGAGCTGGTGGCTCGTGCCTGTAATCCCAGCACTTTGGGAGGCCGAGGCGGGCAGATCAGTTGAGGTCAGGAGTTTGAGACCAGGCTGGCCAACATGGTGAAACCCTGTCTCTACTACAAATATGAAAAATTACCGGGCATGGTTGCATGCACCTGTAACTCCATCTACTCGGGAGGCTGAGGCAGGAGAATTGCTTGAACCCAGGAGATGGAGGTTGCAGTGAGCTGAGATCATGCCACTGCAGTCCACTCTGGAAACAGAGCAAGACTCCTTCTCAAAATACATACACACACACACACACACACACACACACACACACACACAGAATATAGAAAATGTATATACACATATAATACAAGATATAGATTAGGTAGTTTAAAAGAAAAATTGCACTGTACAAGATGAGCAAACAAATTTTATTTTATATATTTATTTTATTCCTACACTTTTACCAGCAATAGGGAAGCGCTCACAGACAGATATGGTCTGGAAATCCAGCTTCCTTGAAACAAAAGAATGGAGAGTTTCAAGAGCTGAGTGGGGGAATCACAGGTCACCTGCATTTGCTAATTGCTTTCCCCAAAGTAAAGGTAGATTTTCTCCTGTGTTTATGACAGAAAGGTAGTTTTACAACTTGGACTCCAGCAGAGACTGGAAAGGGGCCCCTACCTTGATGATTGCATTCCAGAAGGATGGTGCCCATAGCCTTGGAAAAGTCGCTCCGAGCTGTAAAACTGGCCAGAGACTGGACAAAGATTTACATCTCAAAGGACAGAGAAAGAATTCATCATGAGCAGTGTTCTAAAGTAAATGCTCTCCATAAAGGGAGGTCAGAAAGAAATCATCTAACATTGAGACTGGCTGAGGGACAGGTGGACACCATCTTGGTCGGTAGCTATCAACAGAGAAGGACCAGCTGAGGCTGGGGAATAGATACTGGTGATGATGATGATGATCATGATTATGATAATGGCACACAACTTTATAAAGTCTTAAAATTGAAAAAAATAACACTCCAGTAAGTATTTTCCCACTTAAATGTTCCACAATAAACATGTGCCATAGTAATAGCAAATGCGCAGCCCAGAAGCAGACTGGTGGGAGCTGGACCATCCCGTGTCCTCTGGATTCCGGTTCCGGGCTCTATTGAGGTCATTTTGCCTGCTAAGGTTGAAAAGATGCAGTGTGGAAATATGTGAGGGTATCCAAGACCGAATCATGAAAAATATGCACACCTTCAGCGCCCTAAATATACACGATTACCCTCAGTGCCCAGCACGTCCAAAATCCAACGCGTCATTTCACCTTCTTGTCACTGACTAGTATTTCTGTCAGTGGTGCTAGGATTCTTTCAAATTAATCATCACGCACCTTCAAAACAACTTATCTGTCTCCTAAAGGATCACCTCTCCTCTCTAATTCTTTCTATATCCAGCTGCCAAATGTATCTTTCTAAGTGGTTCCTATGTTGCCACTACTCCGCATCAAAAATTGAGTTACCAGCTGAAATAATGTGATCATCTTGGTCTTTTCATGGCCAAATTAAGCCATTTACATGTATTTTTGATAAGTGATCTGCTTGGTTTCATAATATCTATTTCAGCTTTGTTTTCTATATGTTGCAGTTTTATGCCATTTTCTTATTTTGACTCTTCACCTTCTTGTTTCTTCATTACATTTTGAAATTGTTACAACGCTTTAAAATTCTACTGATTATATTTCCATAAGGCATTGAAGACACATAAACTTCTGGGATGTTTCAAAGGTACTGCAGAAGATTTAATCAGTTTTTGGCTATTGCTAGAATGTCCTCTAACCCTAAGTTTCTTCACTTTCTGATAAATGCTTGATATGGTTTTGCTGTGTCTCCACCCAAATCTCATCGTGAATTGTAGCTCCCACAATTCCTATGTGTCATGGGAGGGACCTGGTTGGAGATAATTGAATCACGGGGGCATTTTCCCCCCATACTCTTCTCCTGGTAGTGAATAAGTCTCACGAGATCTGAGAGTTTTATAAGGGGAAACCCTTTTCGCTTGGTTCTTATTTTCTCTGCTGCCATATAAGATGTATCTTGTGCCGTTCCCCTTCCACCATGATGGTGAGGTCTCCCCAGCCACGTGGAACTGTGAGTCAGTGAAACCTCTTTTCCTTTATCAGTTACCCAGTCTCGGGTATGTCTTTATCAGCAGCATGAAAATGGTCTAATACAATGCCTATTTTATAGTCGATGCATGGGCACACTGTTAGAGAACCCCAAATTGCAATATTCTTTCTTACCATTTTGTTATTGTTGTTATTGTTTTTATTTTCTCTTACAGATATCTAATTTGATTTAACTGACATTTAGGATACTTCAAACCTTTTCTCAGGTTGGGTACAGGGATGCGGATAGTGCCTGGGAAGTGGTACGTCGACAAAAGTCTTTCTCTTACCATGTAGCCTGAGTTCTCTAGGTTTTGAAGACATTTCATTTGCCTGAGTAGCTTAAAGACACTGATGACTGTGCCAAGCCTCCAGGACTGTGGAGGAGAGGTGGTATCAGTGTGACTCTCTTTTGTATTCTGTCTACTTGTACAATCTGGCAGCGCATGTGATTCTGACTCCATCTTCAGGATTTTTGGGTATATCAATATATCCAGACTATTTGTAAAATTTATTTCCTCTGCAATTCACTGTCACTTTTTAATTCAAAAACACATTTTTCTTTATCCACAAAAAATAATTTTTTACTGCTTGTTAATTCTTGCATCTCCATCCAGTTTTACTCCTTTAGGGCATTATAAGAATTATTTTTCTTGGATCTGCCTTCCAATTCACATATATTTTGTCTTAATATTTCTATCTAATTGTGTCTCTGATTTTTATACTGATAGGTACTTTTCCCATTTTTTATTCATGATATTAATTGGTTTTGTGGCACAAGTTTTTAAAGTTTTATTTTCTTCAACTCCTATTTTGATTCTTTTTTTCCCAACATCCTACTTCTCTTTGCTTGTTTATTTCTTTGGTCTTTTTGACATTTATCTTGGTCTCTAGAAGTCTCCCGCGAACACACAGAGGCCCAAGACTGCTTACACACTTCTATTTAAAAGAGAGGCCTAGGAAGGTAATTAAAGCTTGCGTGAATAACCGAGTCTTAACAGCCAGTGTGTGTCATTTAAGGGTAATCAGGTGACAACCGCCATCTGGCCGTTTCATCGTGGGGTGGGGGGGGGCCCAAGCATCAGCATAAGTATATATGTTCTCAGTGATGGTTAAGTTTCAGCAAAAAAATCTCATCAACCTTCTGCTAGGGTGAAAGGTATATGACTGGTTGACAATGTTCCGAGGCCCCATTGGAAGGCGGAAACAAAGGATTTTGTAGTTCAGGATATTAACTTTCAGCCCATCAACCTGTTTTGAGTACCGTATTGCATGCCTGCACCCAACGCCCAGAGTCTGGGGTGTTCTGTTTTAATTTCTCTTGACACCCCGGCTCCCTTAGGGGAGAAGGGGATGTTGAGGGAGACTCACTGACCTGCTTCACATTCCTTCAGTCAACTTTTGTGTTCTTACCTTCACTCCTTATTTCCACCATGAGAGTTTCACTATGCTTTGAATTACTGGGATTTCCACAATTAAGCAATGCAAATTATTGAATTATTTTGTTTATCTTATTTCTCATTTGTAATAACTTGTTATGTGAATTTTCTTTGTCATCAGTTATCACAAATACACCAACTTTATTGTTAAATATTTTTTCATCATCATTCATATTCTGGGGTCTCTTCTGTTTTCTTTAGGGTCTACTGTTCTTGGATGAATTATACATACGAGGCTTCAATGGATCTCATACGTTACCCATAGTTTTCCCATTTCCTTCATGGAATTTCTAAGTGTACTAGTTAAATTTGTTTTTCTCTTCAGTTCTTAAAGCCATTTGGGCACTGCAGTTGTATCTTACTGAGTTTGCCTTTGTTGTGTAAAATATCTTTTTTTTTTTTTCTCCCTCTTCAGTGTAAGCCACCTCTTCCAGATGTCTTTCCTTCCTCTGTAGATAGTCGGTTCTCCTTTGAGGATGGAAACCACCCACGCAGCTTGCCATTTTTATTAACATGATTTTATAATTCCCTGTTTTCAAGAACATAACTTTACTTGTGTTTCGCTTAGGATCCTAGGAGATGCTTGCACCAGAAGATAAAGTTGCAACTAACTTTATTGCTTACTCCAAAGACTCATCCGTTCTTCAATAGGAAAATCAAAAGCCAGTTTAAAACAGTCTAAGACTTTCTGAACAATTCGGCCTCAAAATTCTTGGCATTGTCTGGCCACAAATTCTAAACAATTATATCATAATCTTTCCCCAAATTAACCAATATCCTGAATTGAAAGATGCACCATAAGTCAGATTTTTCAGTCTCAATAAATATCCTGAATTGTGTTTTACCTAATGGTTCAGCACGGATTCCCTGTGGGAGTACTGCTGGCCCTGGGTGCATAAGCAGTGAACCTGGCTTTGTCTTTTCAGCGGGCTTTTTGGTGATACTTTGCAGAACCAGCGTTGAATATCCTCATGGAATAGTCCCTTCTCTGCCGACTGATAGTGTTTCGCTTTGTCAGCACCCTTGCTGGGGACCAAATTGTGTCCTGCCGCAAGTCATACGGTGAAGCCTGAAGCCCCAGGGTGACTGTATTTGGAGACAAGGCCTTTAGGCAGGTAATTAAGGTTAAATGATGCCATAGGGTGTTGTCCAACAGACTTGGTGACTCCACAAAGGAAATACACCAAAGGAAGGCCAGATGAGGACACAGGGAGAAGTTGGCCATTTGCAACCTAGAAGAAGGCAGAACCTGACCGTGTGGGCGCCCTAATCTCAGACTTGCAGCTTCCAGAACTGCGAGATAATACATCTGTGCTGTTTAAGTCACGGGGTCTGTGGTAGGGTGTTATGGCAGCCACGGCTGTAAGACCACCCATATGGTGGGTGCGGTCGGTGCCCCTGGGGCAGTAGCCAACAGGTGGTTAAGAGTGATGCTGCTTTTTTGCCCTCTTTTGGGAAGAAGGAAATGATTTGAGGGAATGTTACCCTCTGCTAGTGAATTGGGTTGAGGCACCACTACTTCCTGATCAATTGGCTTCAAGCAGCATTTCTCCCTATTTTTGTTGTTGTTGTTGAAACAGAGTCTCACTGTATCACCCAGTCTGGAATGCAATGGCATTGCAACCTCAGCCTCCCAGGTTCATTGCAACCTCAACAACCTCAGCCTCCCAGGTTCAAGTGATTCTCCTGCCTCAGCATCCCTAGTAGCTGGAATTACAGGCACACGCCATGACACCCAGCTTTATTTTGTATTTTTAGTAGAGACGGGGTTTCACCTTGTTGACCAGGCTGGTCTCAAACTCCTGACCTCAAGTGATCTGCTGGTCTTGGCTTCCCAAAGTGCTGGGATTACAGGCGTGACCCACCACACCCAGCCCATTTATCCCTATTTTTTTTAATTTCAAGAGCAATATGTTGAGATATTGTCATCGCCTTTCCTGCTGACCAAAGTCCTGGTTGGCACAGCAGATGCAGGCTCCACCCAGTGCTTGGTATTAAATCATCTTAAGCCTTAAAAAGAGACAGGTTTTCTCCCCTGACATTAGCCCTTCAGTTTTTGCCTGGCAAGGAAAAAATGAAGAAGTGCTGATGACTTTTTTCTCTAGAATTCCTGAAAAAGTATGTAGTATTACCCCAACTTTTCTGCATATTCTCTACACTTCTCTTCTTGAATTTATGATTTCTCATTTTCTTTCTTTCTTTCTTTCTTATCTCTTTCTTTCTTTTTCTTTCTTTCCTTTTTTTTTTTTTTTTTACGGAGTCTTACTCTATCATCAAGGCTAGAGTGCAGTGGCATGATCTTGGCTCACTGCAACCTCCACTTCCCAGGTTCAAGCGATTCTCCTGCCTCAGCCTCCTGAGTAGCTGGGATTACAGGCACCTGCCACCACGCCTGGCTACTTTTTGTATTTTTAGTAGAGACAGGGTTTCACCATCTTGGCCAGGCTGGTCTCAAACTCCTGACTTCGTGATCCACCCGCCTCGGCCTCCCAAAGTGCTGGGATTACAGGCATGAGCCACCACACCTGGCTATGATTTCTCATTTTCTTTCCTGAGAAATGCATCCATCCCAGACTTTGATTTTTCAAAATTTTGTGTATTTTTTCATTGCCCACCAAGTGAAAGTCAGCATAGATTATTGATTAACTGTAAAAAATAAAATAATATATGTACTAGAAATAACTTTATGAGAAAAAGTATGTAATTTTGTTATGGAGATGTCTATACCAGTCATATTTACTTTTCTCTGCCTCCTACTACTGTTGGTTGTTTAATTTCCATACACTTAATTTTTAAACACTGGTGTAGATCATGCTGATATGGTTTGCTCTGTGTCCCCACCCAAATCTCATCTTGTAACTCCCAGAATTCCCACATGTTGTGGGAGGTATCCTGTGGGAGGTGATTGAATCCTGGGGTTGGGTCTTTTCAGTGCTATTCTCGAGATAGTGAATAAGTCTCACGAGATCTGATGGTTTTAAAAATGGGAGTTTCTCTGCACAAGCTCTGTCCTTGCCTGCCACCATCCACATAAGATGTGACTTGCTCCTCCTTGCCTTCTGCCATGATTGTGAGGCCTCCCCAGCCACGTAGACTGTGAGATCTCCATTCAGCCTTTTTCCTTTGTAAATTGCCCAGTCTCGGGTATGTCTTTATCAGCAACGTGAAAACGGACTAATACACATGCCATCCATTTTTCCTTCTCTGGCATAGTTTTTTTTTTTTCAGTTATTTCATCTGTATATATTTCAGTATTCATCTCTAAATATAGTGATTTTAAAAAACATCATTTTGCAATATGAAAAAGATAATTTCTTTGTATCATCAAGTACCCAACTGTGTTCATATTAATTGTTCATATTATGAACACATATTAACTGTGTTCATATTAATTCTTTCATGAAAAGACGTTCTAAAATGTAAAGTTCAATCTCTCGAAACTTTCCTTTTTGATTGGTGCTTTCTTTGTCTGATTATTGAAATCTTTCTATACCGTAAGGGCATGAAGATATTCTTCTCTATTTTGTACTAGAACTATTATTATTTGACCTTTACATTTAGGTATATAATGTGCTAGTAACTGATGCTTATGTATTATGTGTAATTGGGGTCAATATTCATTTTTTCTACTTAATATCCAATTCACTCAGCATCATTTATTGAATATATCAACCTTTCCCTACTGAACTTCTGTGTACTCTTTATCCTAAATCACATAATTTTTTTCCCCATATACTTGTGGGTCTATCTCTAAAAACAGAATTTTGTTATGTCTGGGAAACAGTCAATGTCCCCATGGGGCAGCCTTTCTTATGGAACTGACATTTTTATCAGAGGCAGATAGTCTTTCTTTTATAAGCAGAAAATATTTTATTGTCCTCAAAATTGCTAAGAATGAATTAATCCTCATTTGCTATTAATTTCAATGTACTGTTCCCACACCCAGTAATAATAAATGTATAATTATGTTTCCCTTGACCATTGATTTCAGTTGTGTTTTCTCACACCTGAATTATTTTATTAGTTATCTACTTCTGAGAAACAAGTTACACTAAAATATCTCAATCTAAATATTTTAAAGTACTAGCTATATTGTTTGCTCGCTTTGCTTATGGCCAGTAATTTGGGTTTGAGATTAGTTTGGCTATTCTGCTGCAGTCCTTGGAAAACAGCTCACTGGATGGCAGTAACCTCAATTCTCCACCCAGACTGGGTGGTGTAAGGTGTCCACACTCGTGCCTGTGCTGCTTGGGACTGGCGCCCAGCTAGGGTTCTCTCCACATCATCTCTTATCCTCCAGGAGGATTACCTGGGCTTATTCAATGCGAACTCCCAGTGGAAACCCCATTTCCGGCAAAAAAGCACAATAGAAGCCATTAGCCATGAGACTGTAAAATAAGAAAAAGAAAAATAATCGACAGAAGAATAAAGGTGTTCCAGGGCAAGAAACTAAAACATATTTCTAAAACTGAGCTGCAGATAGAATTCCTGGTTTCCTGGTAGTTAAAGAAAGAGACAAAGTGTAAGGAGTTACACAGTTATTGTCATTAGCTAAAAGAAATTTCATATTTGTGGCCTAATAGGCATGGAAATAAAATGCTAGAAGGAGCAGGGCATGATGGTGCACACCTGTAGTCCCAGCTACTCAGGAGGCTGAGGCGGGAGAGTGGCTTGAGCCCAGGAGTTTGAGGCCATAGTGAGCTATGATTGCACCACTGCACTCCAGCCTGGGCAACACAGTAAAACTCTGGGAAATGAAGAGACAAAAAAAAAAAAAAAAATGGCATGGAAGAAATGTCAGATGGAATAACCACAAAGTAATGAATATTCCCCAAATAATGAATGTCATGAAACCAAAAAGTTAACTTACTTCCCAAATGGTACATTGTGTGGAAGCTATTCACTGCACACTAAAACAATAGTAAAAGCAATATACCTCTGAATTGTTACATAAAACATACAGTTCTAAATGGGTGTGTTTATTTTTATACACAAACATGAATATAATGTATGTAGAAAATGTGTGGTATATAGAAGATTAAGATATGTTAGGACTCTAGCTCCTTCAGGAACTCACTTCTATATAGTGCCTTTTAAATTATTGTCACACCTCCTTTAACTATAGATATAGTAATAGCAATCTTCAGTGATCCACAATGGGTTATATAAATCTCCCACTTCAAAACCTTAATACAGAATTATGTTTCTGTGAAAAAGTTAACTTGGTGTTGAAAACAAAATGTATTTTCATTTTTCCCCTTTTCCCTATATTACTTAAAACATAATAATTTATTGTTAGAGGGCATTCAGTGGACCAGTGACACTATTTACTTTAATTCAGGTAAAATAGAAATATTAGCACAATTTATTTATTGAAATATCAAATTGAAAACAGACAAAAAGTCAGTGAATTTGAGATCTATTACATTTTCCAGTGTACTAAGAGTTAAACATGTATTCTGTTGTAATATTACTCTAATACTTGATACATTATCTATTCCTCGTTCAAGTGATTCAATACAAATTTTATTTTGTAGCATTATGAAGATCAGTAATGTTTCAAACAGTGGAGTTTCAAACTTTAAAAATGTGTGTGTGATGTTTCCCTGAACCCATATGCAAAATGTCTGAGAACAGAATAGAACTAGCATTCAGATCTTGGTTCTGAATACTCTTCTCCAGTATAAGGAATCAGCGCTCTTTGAAGAAATGCCTGATTCCACCTCTGGGGCAGGACATGAGCAAGATGAGCCTGGGGCATCTTACAGTGCCTGAAAGGAAGTGCTCAAAAAATAAAGGGATGGGGACATGGTTTGGATCTGTGTCCCTACCCAAATCTCATGTTGAATTGTAATCCCCAGTGCTGGAGGTGAGGCCTGGTGAGAGGTGATTAGCTCACGGGGGCGTTTTCTCATGGCTTATCACCATCCCTCCCCCTGCTGCTGTCCTCGCGATAGTGAGTTCTCCTGAGATCTGCTTGTTTCAAAGTGTGTGGCATCTCCCCACTCCCTCCGTCTCTTGCTTCTGCTCTGGCCATGTTAAGTGCCTGCTTGTTCTTCACCTTCCACCACAATTAAAGTTTCCTAAGATCTCCCCAGAAGTTGGCAGATGCCAGCATCATGCTTTCTGTACAGCCTGTGGAACTGTGAGCCAAGGAAATGCCTTTTCTTTATTAATTACCCAGTCTCAGGTAGTTCTTTAGAGCAATGCAAGAACAGATTAATACAGAGGGGAGCTTGTCAAAGGCTGTAGGGCCCAACTGGACAGAGCCCCCAGAGGCCAAAACCAGAATAATCTGGATTATGAACCAAAGCATGAAACACATTCGCATGAGTCCATGGAGATATGAATACATGATTGCCAAAATGAATAACTAGGGGAGAAAAAGATCCCCCATAGGAAGAATTCCAAATAATGTATGAGCTGCTCTCTGTTCCAGGAGGTGGAGATTTACTCCCTGCTGTGGCCTCCTGAGTGCTTGGAGACCTGTTTCCAAAGAGCACCACGTGAGCGGGGGGAAACCACAGCCTTGCCTCGAGCAGCACTGCCGCGGCCAGGCCACCAAGGCCGCATCATCAGTGACTCGGGACGCTGATAGCGCATCCTCTTGGCATGGCATGTTGAGAAGGGCACTTTACCTCTTTAGTCTCCCGAAAGCCCGTAACCCCAGTCTAATAAGGAGAAAAACTATCAGACAAACGCCAAATTAGGGGCGTTCTACACAATACCACCCACCTCCTCAACACTGCTAACGTCATCAGACACAAGGAACATTTGCAAAACTACCATGAAACAGACTAGGCTAAGGAGAAATGAAGACCAAATGTAATAAAGTCCCCTGGATGGGATCCTGCAAGAGAAAAAGGACATTACGGGGGAAACTCATGAAATGCAAATGAAGTTACAAGTGTAGTTCATAGGAACTGCCATTGTCGGACCCATGGTTGTGAGCCGTTGCCCACAGAGACCTAGGATGCAATGAGGCAAGAGTGGAAACCAGGCAAGGGATGAACAGAAATTCTCTGGGCCGCCTCTGCAATGTTGGGCAAATCTAAAATTGTTCTAAAATTAAAAGTTTACTTACCCCAAAACAAAACAAAAATCACAATAGATTTTAAAACATTTTCATACGATTGCTTGGATACAATACTCAGCAGTCCATCCAAGTTTGCAGCACAGTAATACAAGCTCAGGAGTGGAAGCCAAAATGAAAAAAAAAAGGAAGCAGAGCATGTACAGTGGGGTTCCATTTCCGTAAAGCTCAAAGCCAAGCAAAGCCAGTCAACCTCCCACTTAGGAAGAGGCCGGCGAACTAGCAAACACCTCTAGTTATACAGCAAAGCCCAGATAGCTTTGACCTATGGCGGGGTGATCAAATAAGGGTGCAGAGGTAGTGTGAACATGACGTATAGCATTCTATGTCTAAATTTGGAGTTTTAAACATTGCTTTACTATCATCTTATTCGTTATTATTATTTACCCATATACATGCACATATATATTTAGCTGGAAATGTGATTTACTATGCATAAGTTTTATGTATATATGCATATATATATTCAGCTGGATGTATATGTTTTATCATTGTTGTTTTGTTAGTTACTATACATTTATTTATTAAACTTTTATATTTGTATGTATAAATACATTTACACACATAAAATACAGATATATTTTTGTATATTATCTGTATAGTTTTATGAATATGCAGATAGATTTTTTGTATTTCACAGATTTCTATTATTTATATATAAATTTGTAATGGTCATGCATTTATAAATATACAATACAATTTAGCTTTATTTTTGATTGCACATATTGGGTTGGATATAGTCAATACAATGTTTTAATGGAAACAAGGTGCCAAAAGCAATATCACTGGGCTGAACAGAATTCAGACCAGACTGGCAGCATCAAGTAATAAGCAAAAATGTAAATCTATTGTGCAATTATTATACAACTTTTTTATTTTTAATTTTATTACTTTTACTTATTGAGTTGAAAGTTTTTTAAACATCATCAGACATATATATGATTTGTTGGTACTGTCCACCAATATTTAGCTTGTCTTTTCATTTCCTTAGGGGCATCTTCTGAAAAGCAAACATATTTAATTTAAATGAAGTCCATTTTTTTTTCACTCATGGTTTATTTGGTGTTATGTCTTAATCATATTGCTTCAAAATCACAATGCTTTTACTCTATGGTGTATTAGAGAAGGTTCAAAATTTTAATCCTTAGATTTAGATCTGTGATCCATTTAAGTTAATTTTGTGCATAGTCTGAAGTAATGATCTAGGATTAATTTTTCCACGTGTATAAGCAACTTAGAACCATTTGCTAAAACACTATTATTTCCCTATTGAATTGTCTTTCTATGTGTGTAAAAAATGACCTGATCATAAACATAAGGGTTTATTCTTGGACCGTGAAATGTACTCCTTTGGTCTATATGTCTTAACTTTACGTAAATACTAGACTCAGTGATATGGGTTGGCTCTGTGTCCCCACCCAAATCTTATCTCCACCTGAAACCCCTGTGTGTTGAGGGAGGGAGGTGATTGAATCATGTGGGTGATTTCCCCCATGCTGTTCTTGTGATACTGAATGAGTCTCAAGAGATCTGATGGTTTTATAAGTGTTTGGAAGTTGCTCCTTTATTCTTCTCCTTCCTGCCACCTCGTGAAGAAGGTGCCTGCTTCCCCTTTGACTTCTGCCATGCGCTGTATCATTTTTCATTCCAATGAATTATGTATATGAGTACCAACACTCCACATCTTCCTACTCATTCGTCTCATTGTTTTCAAATGTTAACCATATTAGTCCATCTGTAGGAAAATATAGTTTGCATTTTATTTATGATGCACATTTTATTTATGATGTATAGCTGCTTTCATAGCTATAAAATCTGGCTGGTGGCTCATGCTTATAATCCTAATACTTTAGGATACTGAGGTGGGAAGATCACTTAAGCTCAGTAGATTTAGACCAGCATGGGCAACATAGTGAGACCCCATCTCTACAAAACAAACAAACACATAAATATACATATATATATTTGTACATCTGTATAAAATGTATATATGTGTATATACAACTGTGTATATGTAAGTATATACACACATGTGTACATATAAATAGATATACACATGTGTATATATAGATAGATATATATACACATGTGTATATATAGATAGATATATACATGTGTATATATAGATAGATATATACACATGTGTATATATAGATAGATATATACACATGTGTATATATAGATAGATATATACATGTGTATATATAGATAGATATATACATGTGTATATATAAATAGATATATACATGTGTGTATATAAATAGATATATACATGTGTATATATAAATAGATATACACAGAGGGAGAGAGAGAGAAAGAAAGAGAGACAGAGAGGAAACCTATAAAACCAGTAGATTTAACTTCATTTGTCGAACATGCAGAATGAGACGTGGCCTTCAGCTTATAGATTGTTATGAGAATAAAAAAACTGGCATAGTTCAAGAGATAATGTCTCACATAGAAAGGTATTTAATAAATTTGAGTTTCTTTTTTTATTTCATAAAATAATTCTACGGTATTTATAGCATGATATGAATAACAGCATACTGACTCCAGTGACATTTATCTTACATCTTCTTATGAAATGAAAACCTTCACTTTCCTCATATATCACCAAAAGTTATTTTAGAATTTTTCTGAGATTCCTTCCAACTTTAATATTATAACTCATTGAACTTATGAGTTTGATGTTCTGCTAGATTAACTTTTATTTTCTTTAAGCAGCTAAGGAATATAATTATGATTTCCAAAAATATTATTAAAAGCTTGAAATCATTCCAGGATATGACTATGTGTTATGCTTTGGGGAAAAATTGCTAATATTTTTCAGTACTCTTTATGTGACATGCACTATGCTAAGCACATGCATTAGGTCATTAAATTTTTAAGGAAACCAGTGATAAATACTTGTGATTATCCCCTTAAGCTGACAAGAAAACTGATATTTACAATAGTATCTTGCCCAGTGTTGCTAAACTAGTACAGGGAGAGGATAGGATTTTTTTTTTTTTTTTGAGTCAGAGTCTCACTCTGTCACCCAGGCTGGAGTGCAGTGGCCCCATCTCAGCTCACTGCAACCTCCGCCCCCCGGGCTCAAGCGATTCTCATGGCTCTCAGCCTCCCAAGTAGCTGGATTTACAGGAACACGCCTCCATGCCCAGATAATTTTTGTATTTTTAGTAGAGACAGGGTTTCAACATGTTGGCCAGATTGGTCTTCAACTCCTAACGTCAGGTGATCTGCCCGCCTCAGCCTCCCAAACGGCTGGGATTATAGGCATGAGCCACCGAGCCTCGCCAGAATGATAGGATTCTTATTTGAGTAAATTAAAACTAATAGGAACAACATGACTGAAAGAATATTAAGAAATGTAAACTTAAAAAAGTTCTTATTATTCATAAATACTTTATAGTAATTTCAGAATGGTTGAGTTCATGGAAGTTTGTAAGGTTAAAACGACTAAGAGAAATTCTTGTGGTAGCATTTGGTATCACATGAAGAAAGTCTAGCCAAGATGATGTATACATGTGTATATATGTATATATAATGTGTATATTCTACACATCATAAGATGATGTGTAGAAATGTTAGTGAAAGGTATTGAAGAACAGGCTCAATTCTCTGCGGGGAAAATTCTAATATTAAGAAACATCGCCAGGTGCAGTGGCTCACACCTGTAATCCCAGCACTTTGGGAGGCCAAGGTGGGCGGATCACCTGAGGTAGGAGTTTGAGATTAGCCTGACCAACATGGAGAAACCCTGTCTCTACTAAAAATCCAAAATTAGCTGGGTGTGGTGGCACATGCCTGTAATCTCAGCTACTCGGGAAGCTGCGGCAGGAGAATGGCTTGAACCCGGGAGGCGGAGGTTGAGGTGAGCTGAGATCGCACCATTGCACCCAAGCCTGGGCAACAAGAGTGAAACCCCGTCTCAAAAAAAAAATAAAAATAAAAAAAGAAGAAGAAGAAACATCAATAGCAAAAATGATAGGTAACACCTAGCACATGGCATGTATTAAGCAGTGTTTTAAATACTTACATGTTAACTTATTATGTTTCTACAACATTCTACGGAGGGGCTATTCTCGTTATCTCCATTTTCAGATGAGGACATTAAGTTGTAAAATCACACAGCTGCCTTGTGCAAGAGAAGCTCTTTACCCAAAGTGGCATGTCCTCTGATTCCTGACTTTTAACCCGTCTGCTATGTGCGTAATGCTGAATCATTTCTTCAAAAGTCTGCTTTTGAAGTTAAAAAAGGATTTAAAAATGTGTAGCAGTATGACCAGTATAGGCATTGAAGTGAAGATTTCTCAAAATGAGACTAGGAAGCCGCACAGGAGTGAATAGTATGAGGTGAAAATGCATCTACTTTCACCGTGACCATTTTGGGATTTTGATAGTAACGCTTCCCTGTGGATATATCTTATAAACAGTGACTAGATGACATGAGATAAAGTGTTGGGCAAATAGGTGGCACTCTGGCCTAGTATCTCTTTTTGTGATGTCTCTCCATTTTGGGGGAATGGACCCATATTTAATAAATTCCTACTAGAATAAGGAAGTGCAAGATTCTGAAGGAAAAACAAAATAGTAATGTGTCCATGAATTTGGGAGACTTCTGAACACAGAGGAGACAGAGAATTGCTATGTGAGGTGGGCATGGACAAAGGAAACACTGACTTTTACAGAAGTATAAGGCGAGATATGATGATTCCTATATTCACTGATGGTAGTAACCCATGCATATTTGTTTACTTTAATGTATAACTCAAATAGCTGGAAGGCAAGGAGAATCCAAGAGTTGGACAGACGGTACATTGATGAGCATATTATGAGAGGATGATTTAGCAGCAGGGCAGCGTTGCCACCGACCTGCCATCCCCAGCATGGAAAACGTTCATCAGAGTCCCACACACTCCACTGATAGCCTTTTGAGAAAACTGAAGGGCCAGAGAGCCAACTTCCATGTTCCATGCCATTGCTGCTATTTCAGATAAAATTATTTTTAGCACCTAACTGTCTTTCAGAACTACTGTCATAAAACCACAGGTTTTGAGAATTTAAAGATCTCATTGTCCACCCTTACAAGCTTAATGCATGACGCATCTGAGACCTAGTGAAATGAAATAATGAAATAAGATGCCTAAGGCTGCAGAGATATTCCACGAAGGAACCAAGATAAGAACTGCATTTTGTTCTGTTTGTGAAATAGTTACCTGAGTCCAAAAACAACTCCTGTAAATAAGAATGAATACAGAAACCTATCATGTCTGAAGGTGTACAAAACCACTGTGTGTGGTTCTAGATTGTGAGTTACACCAGAAACAGGAGACAGTGAATGAAAAGACAGGTGATTAAGGAAAAAAGATAATTATTTAAGTCCAAAGGTGATACTAGAATTGCTGTTTTTAAGCAGACAATAAATTTTGCTGATACATAGTCGATGAATTTTTTAATCTAGTTATTAGGATTGCTAATCCAACTTTTAAATAATTTCAAAGCAGAAGAATTTACAGACATGGTGGATTAACACAGTGTAGCTAGTGTTTATATACAAAACCTGCAGGTGGGTTATGAGGGAATCGCTGTTGCTACGGAAAACGCTGAAATTAACCACTAACATAAGTAGAAGTAGACTCGACTTTAAAAAATGAAGGCTCAAAGTAACATGACTAGAGACGAAGTTGTCATTGTTTTTCCTTGAAATTTCTCCTGGGCAAACATCAAAGGGCAGAACAAGGCTGAAGTGCAACAACTCAAGAGAAAATTTTCTTCCATAACAGGCTCAGGCAGGTGCCCAGACCTGGTTTATAAATGCCCAACGTTGGCCGGGCGCGGTGGCTCACGTCTGTAATCCCAGCACTTTGGGAGGCCGAGACGGGTGGATTACCTGAGGTCAGGAGTTTGAGACCAGCCTGGCCAACATGGTGAAACCCCATCTCTACTAAAAACACAAAAATTAGCCAGGCATGGTGGCATGCATATGTAATCTCAGCTACTCAGTAGGCTGAGGCAGGAGAATCGCTTGAACCTAGGAGGCGGAGGTTGTGGTGAGCCGAGATGGTGCCACTGCACTCCAGCCTGCGAGACACAGTCAGACTCCGTCTCAAACAAAACAAAACAAAACAAAACAATGTTTAGGAACTTATGGAATATTTGGTGTTTGGGGATTAATGAGGTGAATTCGAAGTAAATAAAACTGAAGATACACTACAATTTTTAGGTATCTGTTTCAGCTCTGTGATTTCAAACCTACAAGGCAAAAATAATGAAAATCAAATGTTGGTTATATCTTAGCATTGCATTTTATCTGAAAAGCATACATACTGAAAAGTTTTATCACAAAGAAAAGATTTCAACGTTATTCTGCCAAAGACTAATGCATTTCGTGGACCAGTTGCTGTTTTCCACTTGGAATCCACGCACCTGACAAATACTCAATGGCTTCGTCCTCTCGCCTAAGGCTTCGAATCTCTGAAGCATATGTCCAGATAATTCATATTGAATACGACCCTTTGAATGTGGAGAAAAAGAACTGATGACAACCTCAAAAACATCATAACCCTGAAAATTGTAAATAAAACATGAAATATGTGAAGGAGGCATGGTAAAAATATATAGAAACCAAAAGCACAATTACATATATGCATTTCAAAACACACTCATTAGAATAGTCCACAGGTTGTCTGTCCTCACAAGCGTCTCAGTGTTCATTAACATCTGCCCATGGACTACAGCTTATCTCTGAAACAGTCAGAAGTCTAAAGGGAATCGGCAATAATAGGACTGCTTTAGCATTTTTTAAATATAAAGCACAATGAAGTCAATTGTTGAACGGTGTCTATCCTTACTTCTCTGGGTGTGTGACTATATTTTACCTGGATGTTGGCTCCATAATCCACAGATATTTTATTTTTCTCTCCATTGCTGTATTCCCAGCAAAGAAAAAATAGTAGTTACTAAAAAAAATTTATTGAATGAATGAATGAATGAATGATTCGACTGTACCTGGTGGGCATGTGTGTGTTCTTTTATTTGGTAAAATAAGAATTTTTGGGAGGCTGAGACAGGAAAATTGCTTGAAACTGGGAGGCAGAGGTTGCCGTGAGCTGAGATCATGCCACCGCGCTCCAGCCTGGGCAACAGAGTGAGACTTTATCTCAAAAAAAAAAAAAAAAAAAAAGAAAAAAAAATTATCACCTTTGAATCAGTATCCTTTTTTACAAAAACACTTACTCTACTGTGAATCACACAAAAGGCTGGTAGTCACTGATGTATAGCATATTTTAATTCCAAACTTAAGGTAATACAAACAATAACTCTATGGGAAATTGCACTATTGAGATGCCAACTATTGACAGTGTTTAAAAAAAAGTATGCCCATATAGGAAATTGCATATTAACATATTCAGTACACATATAATATTATCCATTTTCTTTAAAAAAATGCCTTGAAAGGAATTTTTCAGTTCATTACAAGTTATGTTTTTATTCCAAGAAAAATAGGATTTTACTGTGAGTAGGTTGGGTGATTAAACAAAGTTCCAGCTTAGGTTATCACCCATTTTTCAAACAATGCTGCAGGGCGTGAGGCTAACTGGAGAGGCAGGAAGAATGATTGTGTTTATTAGGCACTGGGCAGGCTTTCCTTTTCTTACCTTTGAGTTGCCCGGGATTTTCACTCTATCCCTTCTTAGCAACTCCGCATTTCAATTAGGCATCCAAAGGGAAGCAGAGAAAATACAGAACTCTCTGGACTCAGGCAAGCAGAGCCTGTGGTCCCCCTAGGACACTGGACTGGAATCGGCTGGAGGAGAATCACGTGGACCTCAAAGCTCAGAGGTGGGAAGAAGGCTTCATCCTAGCAGAAGCTCAAGTGTTCTGAATAGAATCCACAGCCACCACACCTGTTAATGCAAGGGAATTCCGTGTCCTCGGATGTCTCATTGCACCTTTGCCCACATGTGTCTCCCTTTTAGGCATAACTGTTAGGACCTGGGTTGGAAAAGTGATTCCAAGAAAAGGGGTACAGTGGGCATTTCTGCCTCTGGAATAGGCAGACACAGTGCCAATGCCACCATCGGGGCTGTCTTGTGACGCCTCAGGCTAGAGGTAAGTGGGGAAGGGAAGCTGCTCCTGTGACTTTCCAACCGAATTTATAATGGAAAAGTCGTGTGTTTCCTTGTTCTTTACGCTTGCTGTGTGTGAACCATTCTACCTTGTTTCTTACCATATGGACTATGGGTTTCACATTTAGATCCTGAGGTTAAAAGGATGATTTTTAATTACCCACAGACGGGCTGGGGTGATTTTTAATTACCCACACAATACAGTGTGTATTGCATAGCATTCCTTTTCTTAGAAAAAAAAAATTCCCTAGTAAAACTTGGTTGAAAATGCCGTCTCTTCTGCATCCCAGTCTGCACTAGATGGTCAGAGGGCTCACTCACACAAGCATGGGATTCGCCAAGAATATATACTCAGTTTTGCTGAAAATCTGGTGTTTTCAGGACATTTCAATACCAGGTCAGTGAGAGAGAATACTTGAGTTCTGGTTTATCAAAATAGTTTCTTTTGAGTGGGCAAGTTAATGGGTACAGCCAACTAAAATTGTTTCCAAGCCCTGGGTTATATGCACACATAACGTTAAAATGTTTTAGAGAAATATAGTTTCAGAATGCCACGTTATAGGAACATATTTATGCAGGGAGTAAAGCAAAAGAGAACTCGGAACTTTTGTGGGTTGCAGGCTGCATCACGCTGATGAGTATACTCTAAACAAGGGAGGTTAGAGGGCAGGAGAAAGACCTGAGCCAGTCCTACAGGTGAGAAAACGCACCAACCCTCAGTGGAAACTCCAACCAACAAACATTATCAAAGTCCTTAAAACGCACCAACCCTCAGTGGACACTCCAACCAACAAACATTATCAAAGTCCTTAAAACGCACCAACCCTCAGCGGAAACTCCAACCAACCAACATTATCAAAGTCCTTAAAACGCACCAACCCTCAGTGGAAACTTCAACCAACAAACATTATCAAAGTCCTTAAAACGCACCAACCCTCAGTGGACACTCCAACCAACAAACATTATCGAAGTCCTTAAAATGCACCAACCCTCAGTGGAAACTTCAACCAACAAACATTATCAAAGTCCTTAAAACGCACCAGCCCTCAGCGGAAACTCCAACCAACAAACATTATCAAAGTCCTTAAAACGCACCAACCCTCAGCGGACACTCCAACCAACAAACATTATCAAAGTCCTTAAAACGCACCAACCCTTAGCGGAAACTCCAACCAACAAACATTATCAAAGTCCTTAAAACGCACCAACCCTCAGTGGAAACTCCAACCAACAAACATTACCAAAGTCCTTAAAACGCACCAACCCTCAGTGGAAACTCCAACCAACAAACATTATCAAAGTCCTTAAAACGCACCAACCCTCAGTGGACACTCCAACCAACAAACATTATCAAAGTCCTTAAAACGCACCAACCCTCAGTGGAAACTCCAACCAACAAACATTATCAAAGTCCTTAAAACGCACCAACCCTCAGTGGACACTCCAACCAACAAACATTATCAAAGTCCTTAAAACGCACCAACCCTCAGTGGAAACTCCAACCAACAAACATTATCAAAGTCCTCAAGCACTTACTGAAAAAGTTTCTGACTTTTTTCTGCCTGAGAGAGTATCGTAATTATGTGACTCAGAAGATGAGATTTTCCCCCTTTGGATTTCGTAGGTGTTCATTCCTGGTAGTTTTTATTTTTTGCTTTGAAACAAGCAATTGCCTTTTCCTGACCTTGACATAAATAATCAACGTCTCTGAGAAGATCGTGGGTTATAGTAGAGTTACCTGAAAAACTTTGCTGAACAGTATGCTGTTTGACAACGTGCATCTGCTGTTTGCATTATTTAAAATATGCAACAGGATGGTACTGTGCTCTGTTTACAATATGCAAACGTAAGATGCTTCAACCTTGACAATGCTGCTCAAATTATTCCTCAGTGTCAAATTCTCCAGTTTATCCATGTAAATTACACATAATAATTTTATAGACAGATATTTGTGGTTAAGAATAAGCTGTTAAATCTATTATTCCCTATTCCCTTCTCAAACACCTTAGCAAGTGTATGCCATTATTATTATTTCCATTTTAAAGACTAAAAAGCTGAGGCTATAAAAGCTGAAGAAATTTGCCAACAATCTTTGCAACTTTTGCATGGCTAGTCCTGTGGTCAAGTTCTAATCATTGAAACTGTTGTGATTTTCAGGGGAAGCAGTATGAAATAATGTTTGCAATTCTAGGTAAATATAAGTAATATATGATCAAATTAATACGCAATAATCCAATAATCAACAGCAGCTCAAAACTTGTATCCTACAGCTTTTAGGAAGAATGTACGTAAGAAAATAGCTCTGATTTCCCTGAGGAAGGAACTGCATTTCTCCTAAAAAAGAATTCTTAGGTATCAAGGAAGAATATGCATCTATATTCTTTGTAACAAATGTATATTCACTTTTTTTATTTTTTATTTATTTTTGTTTTTTTGAGATGGAGTTTCACTCTTTTGTCCAGGCTGGAGTGCAAGGGTGTGATCTCGGTTCACTGCAACCTCCGCCTCCCAGATTCAAGCAATTCTCCTGCCTTAGCCTCCCTAGTAGCTTGGATTACGGGCATGTGCCACCACGCTCGACTAATTTGGTATTTTTAGTAGAAACGGGGTTTCTCCATGTTTGGTCAGGCTGGTATCAAACTCCTGACCTCAGGTGATACACCCGTGTTAGCTTCCCAAAGTGCTGGGATTACAGGCATGAGCCACCACGCCCATCTTCACATTTTAACTATATAATTTTTTTATTCACATTTTAACTGTATAAATAAACAAAATCCTAGTAAGCAATTCTCCCCGATATATATTAAAGAGTTTGACCCACTAATACAATCAAAACTGGTTGATTAGAATCTTAGTTTCTGAAAGTGTTTAGTTTGGGAAGGAAAAAAATGTGCTGGAGGGAAAAGAAAAAACAAATGCAACTTGATTATATGTAGTTTGTACCAACTGAGGGAACAATCATAATGCCCCCAAGATATTCCAATCCTCTCAGGAAAAGTAACCTTGTACATCACAATTAGAAAATGTGTGGGTAGGCTGGGCGCAGTGGCTCACCCCTGTAATCCTAGCACTTAGGGAAGCTGAGGTGAATGGATCCCCTGAGGTCAGGAGTTTGAGACCAGCCTGGCCAACATGGTGAAACCCCATCTCTACTAAAAATACAAAAAATTTGTCAGGCATGATGGCAGGTGCCTGTAGTCCCAGCTACTTGGGAGACTGAAGCAGAAGAATTGCTTGAACCTGGGAGGTGGAGTTTGCCGTGAGCTGAGATGGTGCCATTGCACTCCAGCCTGGGCGACAAGAGAGAAACTCAGTCTCAAAAAGAAAAAAAAAGAGAGAGAGAAAATGTGTGGGTATCAAATCTCGTCGAAATGCACCCTCATAACTGGTCCATAACATTTCAATAACACATTTGCTATGACTTATCTTGAGTGTATTTAATAAATATGCAGTTTTAAGAAGCAAATTCACAACAAGATGTAGACCAAGTTAAATGCTTCTATAAAGATGAGCTAGTGTATTAATTCTCCTTCAGCAATTTTGGGGGGCAGTCTTTATATACCTTCCATTATGGAAGACAGGGTCAACAAGCCATTTATGGTAGCTGATTTGGGGGGAAAAGTCATAGTCTTCATCACCTGAAATTGGTAATATATGTATACTTTAACGTTTTATGATTCCAATTTACTTCATGGAGGCTGGCTATTTGTATATTTTTGTACTCAAGAAATTTAAAGAAAGTTTTTGACATGATCCAAAAATAACCAAAGTAAAAGGAGTTTGTCAGCCAGTGTTTATCTAAATTAATATTTATTGCAGAAGACCAACTTTCACCCACCCACTCTTCACTAATTTGTATGAAAAACTCACACAGACAATAATGGGAATTCCGCTGGCATTTTTCTGGATAACTATGATTTTCTCACATCTTTTGAAGAAATGGAATCATCTAAGACAACACTTCTGTCAAATTAGTAGCCTGTAGTATTTGCTTGTGATTTTCTATTTCCCAGTGGTTCCAAAAGCTGATAGATTTTTCTTTTTGCAAAACATATTGCAAATATATGTTTCTAAAATCTCCCCATGTTGACATATGACAAATAGTGAGTCTTATAAGAACAAATCTCCTACAGATTTACAGACAAATAGAAAGATATATCCACATGGCTTATTAAATACAGACAATATTAGTCTCTCACACTTTTAGTTTTGGTAGATAAAACTGTTTACTTTCGCAATTAAAGCTGTTCTGTCTACTTATATTAAGTGAATAATAGAAACATATCACCTTCAGCATAAAATAAAATATGTTTACGTAAGTGCATTCAAAGAGAGAACCATGTCCTAAGGCATCAACAGAAAAGGGTAAGATTGAGTGTTACGGTAGTCTGAATGTGGATAATGATGCATAGTGACTGACATTGAAGAGACAATTAAAACGAATCTGGCCATAAAAAGATACACAAGAATATATATTTTATTTTTATTCTCGTTTTTAGTCTACAAATAATTTTAAACAGATGATAAGTTTTTCAGTTGTTTCTATCAATAATAGAGTTTGTAAACTATTTAGAAAAAGTTTTTGCATGTTTCCACAATCTTTGTTTTGTATTCAGATTCCACTGTTTATCATCAGATAATATCCTATAAGTGTTTCTTATATTATACTTTCAATAGAAATACTGGTAATATTAATATACATTTTCTAGAATACAAATATCTGCTTTCCTGAATATACATTGAATTTTTTATGCAAACTTCATTGCAAAAATAAAAGACAGTAAAGTAGCAAATTGTTGTCAAATATAGTTACAATATTCAATATTATCATTTGGTAAATAATACTATCTATAAACTGATATAATATTTCATTTATTTACTATATATGAGCCAAAGCTTACTGTCCAGCAAAACTTGTGGTCTTATACCTGACTTAAAATACAAAGTACTATGATAGATAGTGCTGGAATTTTATGAAGGACTTCCAATTTCTTCTATTAACCTCAGTAGTGTCTGCTACTTATGCAAGTATTTCAGCATGCAAATTACTTCTGATAACCAAAAACATTTCTTGAGCCGTGTAGCATTGCATAACAAAAGCTTTAGTAAATTTATTTTATTCATTTTGGGAACAGAAGAGTATACTGGCTGGACATCAGTCATGCAATGATTTCCAGTTTTGCCTCAACTGGTGTGGCTGGTGGGACATGTGCATGTGCATTTATACCACTTAGGGAGGCTGCAGGACACGCCTGGTGGCTCACGCCTGTAATCCCAGCACTTTGCGGGCTGAGGTGGATGGATCACTTGAGATCAGGAGTTGAAGACCAGCGTGGCCAACATGGTGAAACCCCATCTCTACTAAAAATACAAAAATGAGCTTGGTGTGGTGGCGCACACCTGTAATCCCAGCTACTCGGGAGGCTGAGGCAGGAGAGCCACTTGAACCCAGGACACGGAGGTTGCAGTGAGCCAAGATTGCATCACTGCCCTTCAGCCTGGGTGACAGAGTGAGACTCTGTCGCCAAAAGAATAAAAAAAGGGGAGGCTGCAGGGAGTCAAGCAGCCTAGATTCCCCCTGTTGTGTTCATCAAGGAAAGGTAACAGCTTTCCAAATGAAACCCCAAATCTAAGACAATTAAGAAAAAATATGTGTACTTGTTTCTATCTTAGCCACGTGAGGTCCAGGTCCTGCTTCAACAGCAAGGTCCTCTGTGAGTCACAACACAGGACTTGGATGCCATAGGTTCTGGGGCTCATTTATTTTCAGCTCATGGTCCGGGGGTGCTTTGCACGTCCTCTTCTCCATTCTATTGGCCCCGCGATGTGACAGGAGACAGGAGATGCGATGTCACTTTTTTCCAAGTAGGAAGAACTATGGGCTTAATGAATAGCTTGCAAGTTGCCACGCCGGGGTTTTCAGTGACATGTTTGTGTGCAGGCGTCAGTTCCCAAATAACGAAGGCCAAGATGGCTTCAGGACATTCATTGTTACACATCCAGGGACCAGGGATCGTATAGAAAATCAGATCACAGTTCTGGATTCTCATCCCAGAAAAGTGTGTGAATGTGCAGACGATGAGGGCCCACCTAGATTATAGACACATATTCCAGTATTTCTCTGTATAGTTCTGCTGATTTGATGGTGTTCTGATTGTCTTCTTGTTGCTTGCAGTTAAAGAGCTCCTTTTTAGTGTTGCCACATCAGTTCTCTAAATCCTGATCGTCTGAGTCAGAATGAGGTGTGCCTTTTTCATTCTGTGTCTTTCCCAATCGATGACAGAGATTAGACACCTTTGGGGAACTCTTTCCACCATAACGGATGCCACATGTAACTCTCAGGGCAGAGATCCTCAAGGAGTTCACACAAGAGACAAAGACTCTTTGCCATCCTCATTCTCAACAGACAAAAAAGCCACTTATGGTCAAAGTAATCTATTTTATAGAATTTAATTTAGAAGTGAGATAGGCTAATGACTAGTTTTATTATTAAAATGACCTTACTGTTATTCAACCACGTTCATTGTTTTTATTCCTTATGCTATGTTTGTTCTAGTCAGCATTATCCTGAGTAAATTTACACAGCCTGGCGGAATCCACCGTGCATTTATACTCAACCCAGCTGACAGCCTTCATTATTTATGTCCTTAAGGATTTATTGCCTTTCAACCCTCTTGTACCAGTTTCTGTATCAGTGAGTATCCTAAATCTAGTTTAAGAAGGCAGGGAATGTATTAATGTGCATTAGGTCACAGATCTCCAGAAGGGTCCATTTGTCAAGCCATGAAGCTACACAGTGATATGCCATGTTCAAAGCCCAGGGTCACAAGCCCAGACCCTGTGGAGCCCGCTCTGGGAAGAGATACAGTCAGTCCTACAGCTGGTACTGAACACCGGGAATCACACCCCACACTCTCTGAGCTTGGGTCACCTCGATCATCCATTTTGGGGATAACCATGTGCTGGTTTCTGAATTAGAGCTGAAGACGCTTCAGGCTGATTATTGAAGACTCAAAATAAAGTCTCAGGATTCATGACTTTTTCTTTGGGGAGGTGTAACAAGGGAAATGCCCCAAACATAGAATGTTCAGGACCCATGTCACAGGAGAAATGTCCACTGTAAGGATTCGCATGAATTACTGTATCTTCCTGGGGTCCATCCAATGTGTCCATCAATACGAGGAAAGAAGGCCATTTCACTGGGCATGGAGGAAGGTTGACAGACCGTGCATTGACAAATACCAAGTACTTGTTCTCTCTCTCTCTCGCTCGCTCGCTCTCTCTCTCGTGTGTGTATTAATATATATATACACACACACACATATATGGGGTTGGGGGGTCAGGCAGACTATGTTTTGGGCTGAAAACCCCAGGATATTTAATGTGTGCTTCTCTTTGCTTAAGTTCAGCAAAGAGCTTATCTATCTATCTATCTAGCTATCTATCTCTATATATACATAGATTTATCTATCTATATCTATCTGTGTATCTATCTAGCAATAGGTAGCAAAGAATTTATATATCTATATATCTATCAATAGATATATGTATCTAGATACATATATCTATATGTATCTACATCAATAGATATAGATACATATATCTATATGTATCTACATCAATAGATATAGATACATATATCTATTGATAGATAGCAAAGAGCTTATATATGTATATATCGATATACACACACGTATATAATGTATATACGTATATATTTGTGCTAAATTATTAAACATGGATGTACTTTATAAATTAATTAGCTCTTATAGACACTTGCTACTTTCCTCTTTCCCAAATTGGTGTTTTCTTCTTTCTATTTATCTTCATTTCCTCTAGTGTCCAGCTGAAACTGTAATTCTTCCTCTCACCCCACCCCATGTCTTATGTAGAGGGTTTCCAAATCCTATCAAACTTCCTTTCCAAGTGTCTTTGAAGCCCAACTCTTCTTTTCATTTCGATATCACTATCTTAGCTGGCCCCTCATCACCTCAAGTGCAGATTATTTCAAAAGCCACTAAATAATATGAAGGCTTCCAGCTTAATTTTTCTGTCTTTTCATTATAATTGCTCTTGGGTGTATATTTAATGTCTTGTAAAGTCAGAAAGAGAGTTACCCTAACATGAGAATATTTTCATAATGTTGACTTCTTAATAAATAAATAAATAAATGTGATTTTCCATTTTCTAAATGAGAAACTTCTCGGTTTTTAGCAATTTTTATAATCTAGTTTTAATCTGCCTTTCCAAATATATCACTTTTTCCATCACCACTAATTGTCTCTTATCCAACCAAACTGCGCTTTTTGTTTTCAAAATCACGACCCGTTCCTATTGTAAGCCCATGATCACCAAAATGTAAGCTCCTCCCACCTGGAATGTATTCCTTGCTTTTCCTTCTACCTAAAACCATAGAAATGATTACTATTTCTCAGAATCCTTTTCCGACACCCCAGTGGTGTTATGTGTGCAGCATGTCAACTCATGGTCCTAATTATCTGTGCTATTCGTTCTGCTAGCACCTGCAGCATTGCTCATCGCCTCCTTCATGTATGCACACCGTACTACCTCAAGTACATTCTTATCTCTTATTGAACAGGGCGTAAAACTTCTTTCAAAATTCTAAAAATCATGTATCATAGAAATCAAGAGACTCTATCAAAAACAAGTTTTTACAACTTCATTTCACGAATTTCTTTATTCTCCACTCAACGTCAAAGCTGAAAAGTGACAAACAGTGCTTTATGCACACAAAGTTCATGAGTAGTGCACTAAATTTCAAAGGGCAAATATCAACATTAATCTGACAAGCTAAAATACCTCATAAAAATAAATGAAGTAAATAATAATGGAATCTAAAATGCGTGAGCAATCTCAAGATGAAAAATGGCCCAGCATAAACTATTATTTTAGGATCCTGAATAGCTTATTGTACATTTATTTTTAGTATTAAAGTTGTGACCAAAAACTTTTTTATGATATTGCTATCAGGGAATTAATAACATATAACATAGACACTAAATATTTCTTACATGCTTCGTCTGCATTTAAATTTTGTTCTGAGGAAAGTGATTTGATCCATCATCTGTCAAAATTGACAGGGGAGACCCATGTTTAATTTTTTGAATGTCTTCCTTTATCCTATTAGTTACTACATAAATGCATGTTGGGTAATACAGTGACTATCAGACCTTCAGCTAATTCAGGCATGAAGTCCCAACTGTCCCTGGGAAAACAGAACTAAAAATGGAGGCATCACTCCTAAGTGAGCAGTGAAGCTTAAGCAAAGACAAGAAGGATACATAACTGTGTATGAGAGTTGGCTAATGGCATCAGAAGACTGAGATAACACTGAAGCAGACTTTGTACCCAGATGTCTAATCAGCTGGGTGGGTGACATTGATGGGCATTCCAAAGGTCCAGTCTCAGAATCAGGGATGTAGCAGACACAGGCTCCCACAGGAGGCATTTGGCCCTGGAATGACAGACTCAACACAATAGAAAGGAGACAGAGCTCTGAACCTGGAAGGGAGGCTACAGTTCCATGCAGGCAGGTCATTAGAGCTAAAAAATGAAAAAAAATTCCTATCTACCACTAGCACACACTTGTTAGAAGCTACATAGGCATCAAAATCTCATTTAAGGATGAGAGATTGTTAATGCGGTTATCTCAAAAGTAATTCACAAAATACAAAGGAACCCAACAATTTTATAGGCACAAAAGTGTGTGGGTCACAAGAATATCTTGTTCAAAATGTCACCAGATGAAATGATGCAGATTTGTTTCTTTTAATAGTTTTAACTAGGGAATAACACAGTAAAATATATGAAGCGTACTTCTGTAAATCGTGCAGCTTGGATAAATTTGAGCACACATACACAGCTGTGAAAACACCACATGAATCAAAATACAGAACATGTCCAGCACTCTCAAGCTCCCTCTTGATTTCGTTTCTTCCAGTCACTGACTCTAGTCTCCATAGGAGTTAACCACTATTTCGACCTCTAACTCTCAGCAGATGGATTTTGCCTGCTCCTGACCTCATACAAATGGCTTTATACAATTGTTGCTCATTCATGGATGGCTTCTTTTGATCAGCATGATGTCTTAGAATTGTGTCCATCCATGGTTTAATCTTTCTTATTTATAATGTTCCATTGTTTATGAATAAACCACTTTATTTTTATTCTCCTTTTGATGGGGAAATTTTATTTCATTGTTTTTTTCCTTTGCTACGGCATTAGGGATTGAAGCCTCTGTGAGCCTTCTTATACGTGTCCTTTGCAGACTTTTACAGTTCTTTCTGCTGCATGCACACAGGAAGAGAGTCTCTGGAACATTGGATAAACCCACTTTCAACGTAATGCCTACCGCCTAAAGGGCTCGGGCACACCAGCTTCTGCCCTTATCTGCAAACTATCAGAGCTGCAGATCCTCCACACTTTTCAATTCTTTGTATCGACAACTTTGCTTTGGTTGGATAGCTTGTTCCAAGTGTAGCCGTTCTCACGGATCTGTAAAGATAATGCATTCTGACATTAAAGTGCACGTCCTTTGTAAGTAACGCTGTTGAGCTCCTTTCAATGCTTGCTGGACACTTGGATATTATATTCTTCTTTGAATTATCTGGTCTGATGTTTTGTCCATTTTTTATATTTTTCAAATCTTTTTCTTATTGATTGGTAGAAATTATTTAAATATTCAGAATACAAGACTTCTGTCAGAAACGTTTGACGAAAGTCTTGCTTCTGTAAGGGATGCCTCCGAATGCTAGGCAATCCTTAGCTGGTAGCTGGGGGTCTGTGTTAACGAGGCCAAGCCACATCAATAAATTGCTCTAGGTTCAAAATTTCTTGGAAACAATGACTTGGATTCTAACTTAGTTGCCTCCTCTTCTTTTTTACTTCTGACCCAAGAAACAAATAGTATGAAGTGTGCATGCCCTGCCCTAAGGGACGAGGCGGATCTCCTCTTCATGTCCCTCAGCTCTCTCAGGTCGTGCCCGATGCTGGAAAATCCTGGCCACCATACGAAGGGAAGCAGAAGCCTGGTCAGGGGTCCCGTGTCATAACCACTGGGATCGGGGACACCAGTGCTCATCCTGTTACAGTGTAACTCATTTTCTTTTACACCATAGTCACATATTTTTGTGTCCCTTTCCTTCATGTGATAGCTTTGTTATGCCACATAAAATACAACTTCTGGGCTGGGTTTGGTGGCTCATGCCTGTAATCCCAGCACTTTGGGAGGCCGAGGTGGGGGGAATCACGAGGTCAGGAGTTCGAGACCAGCCTGACCAACATGGTGAAACCCCGTCTCTACTAAAAATACAAAAATTAGCCAGGTGTGGTGATGAGTGCCTGTAGTCCCAGCTACTCAGGAGGCTGAAGCAGAAGAATCACTTGAACCCAGGAGGCGGACGTTGCAGTGAGCCGACATCATGCCACTGCACTCCAGCCTGGAAGACAGAGTGAGACTCTGTCTAAAAAAAAAAGAAAGAAAGAAAATACAACTTCTGGGAGCTGAGGAAATACAAGGTGGAGGAGGAATGAGTCCTGGAGCGACACAGCCTTGCAAACCGTCTCTGATTGACATTCCGTAACTTTATCCTTTATATGACGTCAAGAGTAATGCTGAGAATAGAGTGCAATCCTCAACACAGTAGGCAGGGGCAGGGTCAATTATGCATTTATTTTTCACATTTGCAAAGATAATATTTGTATTATATAATTAATATTTACCAGAGTAATAATTATTATACTTTCAGGAGAAATAAAAACAGGATAACGATTTTCATACACTGATGACATTTCAGGACCAAAGCACTTTAGTCAAATTTGTTAGAGGGTCTTTGTATCTGAATCATAAATTCCATCACCAAAGGTAATCGTGGTCATAAAGGAGGGTCCCGCGTTCGAGCAAAACCGATGAAGTTTCTATTGATTTGAGATTATGCCTTACACTAAAAACCAATAGTAATTACATCAAATGAGCTAAATTAATGAAGTTAATATTTGCTGTTGGGAGATTGTTAGAACTCGACCAACCTAGCGAACATTCTAGCATTACTAACCACTGCCTGGCATAAGTAATTTCTAAAATTTCAAAGCCCACGTTAGTTAGTGAGGTGCAATTCTCAACGGCATTTTGACATTTTGGTTGTGTTCCAGAAACATGTGCATACATCGTGAGTGTGTGACTGAACAAAAACTATGGCTCTCCTCTTCATGTTATTTTCACAGTTGGTGTAGGTCACAGTAGATGAAAGTGACGGGAAGTCCATTTCTATGATTTTCTTCTCCAGGCTACGGCAGGCTTTATGGTGCTGTCTTTCTAGAGCCATAGCTCATATATTCTCTTTGGCCTGGGAGGGTTTCATTCAGATGAACATGTGGTAGGATGTTGGCCTTGTGGGACGAAGCCCCCAAAATCAATAGATGAGGTACCTGGATCTGGCCCTGCCATGTTCTACCATTGTGATTTTGAGAGCCTGTCAACCTCTCCCAGACCCATTTTCCTCATTTGTAAAATGAAATGAATAGATTTTGGTGGTTTTGAGACTTTTGGACTATGGAAGGCTTTCTTCAGAAAAGAAAAAGAAATAACACATTTCCCAAAGCCCAACATATACACCAAATCCCAGTGTGCCTGCCACTCCCCTTGGCTGGATGCTGGAGGCCTGTTCTCCACGTCTCTCTCCCCTTCACTCTGTAGTTGCTCTTGGGACACAGTTGTAAAACCCACACAAGGTTTCTTGGAAAGACCTGAACTAAACAGTTTCTAAGATTTCTTCTTTGGCCAGGCACAGTGGCTCACGCCTCTAATCCCAGCATTTTATAAGGCTGAGACGGGAAGATCACGTGAGGTCAGGAGTTCAATACAGCCTGGCCAATGTGGTGAAACCCTGTCTCTACTAAAAATATAAAAATTAGCTACGCATGGTGGTACATGCCTGTAATCCCAGATTACTCAGAACACTGAGGCAGGAGAATAGCTTGATCCCGGAGGTGGAGGTTGCAGTGAGCCGAGATTGTGCCACTGCACTCCAGCCTGGGCAACAGAGTGAGACTCCCTCTCTAAAAAAAAAAAAAAAAGACTTCTTCTTCCTCTGACTTTCTTGATGGACACTTTTCTCACATGGGATCCACTAATGTCACCACCAGGGGATGGCAGGAAAGGTGGGACAGAAGACCCAAGGGCCAAGGCAGAAGCAAGCAGAAGAGAGTTTCACCCTCAGGATCGCAGTCAGGAATCACACCACGCAACATCGCACCCAGCCAGGGAGATGCTGGCTGAGTAAAGGCACATTTAAAGTCCACAGACTCCACACTCAGGGGCCAGGCCATACGCGCCAGGAGCTCATGGTGCTTGGAGAGCCTGAGAGCCATGCACCATGGGAAGCATGGAAAGGATGGAGAGGACAGTGATGGGGCAGCCGCTCAGGGTTCCACGGGCCTTCCATTTATTGTTCTTTGCCATCCTCACAATGGGCTTCCTCCTCCTGGTCCAAGATGCCCTTTGAACATCCTCTTTGCAGCTGTCAGTTAGAAATAAGGGACAAAGGGTCCATTCCTGCTTCTTGCGACACAGTGGAAACCATTTTCATGCACATACAGACTGTTCAGAAAGTGGCCCTGCAGCTCCTCTCCACTGCAACTGACTTTGGCAAAAGAATCCTAGTTCACACAGTCATGTGCTCAGCCACAGACCGTGGCTCTGATCCAGGAGAGAGAGGAGAATAAATGACTAGCACTAACCGTGATCTCTGAGAAGAATCTGATTTTCCTTAAGGGCAGTTGGAATAACACTCACCTGATCACGGACCTAGTTTGAGCCTGGACAGGGTGTCCTAGTCCTCTCTGTGCTCACTTTTTATCCTATCACCTGTTTATAAGGAACGAAAGAACATGCCATGCCCAGTCCTGGCATCTGGGATTTTGGGACTCTAGGATGTAAGCTTTGGAGGGCTTTTGGTTACTCACTCATTATCATTTTGTATATTAATGAAATTGTGGCTTCATTTTATCATCAGAAACCTGACTCTGTTATTACATAAGATACTCTCTTTTACCTGTGTTGGGCTAGGCAGTCTGATATTCAGAGCAATTCAACCAATAAGATCTTTGATAACTCAGTTTCCCTATTTTTTCAATGATGAGAACAATCACAGCCTAATACCAGACAGGTGTGCTGAGGCTGGAACTAGAATGGGAATTGTCCCAGAAGAAGGCTCTCACAAGAATCCAAGAAAGGATGAAAGGAGAAGGAGTTGGAGGAGGAGGGGAAGAAGAGGAGAGAATGTTTCAAATCAATCAAAGTCATCTGTGTGTAACCATTGCAAGAATTCAATCGCACTGAGAAAAAATTATTAACACAGAAAACTATCTTTTCTTGGACTGATTTCCAGTTGATAACTCTGGGCCAGCATCTTTCATGGAACACTTTTCCTCTTCAGAAACCACCATAAATGTGGCTAAGGGCATTTGTATAGACACCTTCTTAATATTAAAAACGTGGGAGGAAGAGACGAGTTACGATTATTGCAAAGAAACCAATCCATCTGGATTTAATGTAACAGTTGTAAGCTTTCAGTCTGCACCTATGATTTTAAGTAGAAAAGAGAAAATTGGAAAGCAAACTGGAAAACCACCAAAATTTAGTATAAATTTAAAATCAGAGCAGTAAATTTTCAAAGGCTGTGTGAACAGTTCACCCTTCTGGTTGTCTTTTCTTCATGTCTTTAAGCCAGCACATTACTTCAGTTAGTTCTAGCATCCGTTTAGTGCCAAGCTTGCAAAGGGAAGGAGGAATTAATTTTATTCAGAAAATGGTGCCTGTGATTAACTGAATGGTTTAGGAACTAACCAATTTTACAAATACACACTGCAGCTTTGTATGTATGTGTGTATACAAATTTAAGCTTTAATCCATTTTATGTGAAATTTTAAACATGGCTTTGAAATATAATTTTATTCCAGTGTTTAAATACAACAAATTCGACAAATGTGCATGGAGCCTGGCCAGAAGACAGAGACGCAGCAGTGAGTCGGGCAGGTGCAGCCTGGCCATGATGAATCACATTCTATGGGGCAGGGAGCAGATAATTAAACAAATAGTTACACACCAGTTGTTCAGTTACTATGTAACCCTTGTGAACACATTCCAAGCCACGTGTGTTATATGTGTCACGTCTAGGCCTCATGATGCAGGAGGCTGTGCTATCCACCACTACCCCTGCTTTACCGATAAAGTAGGAGACACTGAAGGCACATGCCCCGGTACTGTCAGAGGCAAGATTGTTACTGAGCAGGGAGGGACTCCCTCCCAGCCTTTTCCAATTTTACTGGAAATTTGTCTTCAGATTTTTTTTTCTATTCCCAGACCAATATATATTTTACAATTACATAAATAATATCAAACATATTTTTTCTAAGCAATTTTTGTGGTAGTATAGAGTATGGAACCAATTTTGCTAAATGCACAAGCGTTTTGAAAACAAACTCTTGCTGAATGGGGTCTGGTTAGAAAACAGACTTCCAATACTTGTTTGATTCAAGATTCCAGCACTCTGTGTGTGTGTGTGTGTGTTTGTGTGTGTGCGCACCGCAGTACTCAACTGTCTGCATAAAAAAAGATCTATGTGTTTATCATTGTATTCTGCTGAACAAAAAAAAATGGATAAAAATGCATTAGTGGAAATCAATACCTTGTTGAGAAGCTTCAAGCACATGTCTCTGCCTCTTGACTGCAGGGGGCTGCACCCTCTTCCTGCCAACCATTTATAATCACATACGGATGCCAAAATTAGCAGCAGAGAAAGCAATTACTTTAAAGGCTTTGAGATTGGAAGTTAAAAAAAGATATATATTGTAAATCATTTTAATCCAACAGCAAGAAAATAGCAAGTTAAAGTTCATAAATAGGAGGTAGGCTAATGAGACAATATTTTAAACATTAACAGTGCCTTTGATCTATAGTGTGTTCAGTAGGAATTTGCTTTAGAGGACTGTATTAGACTGTTCTCAGGCTGCTAATAAAGACATACCCGAGACTGGGTAATTTATAAAGGAAAGAGGTTTAATGGACTCACAGTTCCACATGGCTGGGAGGCCTCACAATCATGGTGAAAGGTGAATGAACAGCAAACGCGTGGTGGCAGAGAAGAGAGCTTGTGCAGGGGAACTGCCCTTTATAAAACCATCGGATCTTGTGAGACTTACTCACTACCACAAAAACAGCACAAGAAAGACTCACCCCTATGATTCATTTCCTCCCACCAGGTCCCTCCCACAGCACATGGGAATTATGGGAGCTATTATTCAAGATGAGATTTGGGTGGGGACACAGCTGAACCATATCAAGGAAACAAATGGAATCTTCAATATTGACAAACTCCAAATGGAGTTGAGGACTTGAGTAGGAACAGGTTGGGTTAAGTGGACCAAGAAGAAAGTCATGATAGGTTGTTGATACTGATGGTGAGGGCAGGATATCTGCAGTCTATGTGGACAAGTGTTTTTTGCCAGCTTAAACCCAAAGGAGGGAGGAAATTAGCATGGTTTGAACACCTACCTGGCCAGCGGCTCTTTTCTGTAATCTCTGATAACTGATCTCCATGTAAATGAGGTTCAATATGAGATCTTTCTACTCGGTAGGTTTCCGTGTAATTTACAATATACGTGACTATTCATACATGAGTCAGCCCAACACAACAGATTCAATATTAATTGCAGAATGAAATCTTGGATTGTGTTATGAATAGACATAATGGAGATCACTGGGACATACAGTTAATGTAAAAGGGATGTAGATGATAAGGATGATTTTTTTTTTTTTGAAACAGAGTATAGCTCTTGTAGCCCAGGCTGGAGTGCAGTGGCGCGATCTCGGCAGCTCACTACAACCTGTGCCTCCCAGGTTCCAGTGATTCTCCTGCCTCAGCCTCTTGAGTAGCTAGGATTACAGGTGCCCGCCACCAAGCCCGGCTAATTTTTGTACTTTTAGTAGAGACGGAGTTTCACCATTTTGGCCAGGCTCGTCTCAAACTCCTGACCTCAGGTGATCCGCCCGCCTTGGCCTCCCAAAGTGCTGGGATTACAGGCGTGAGCCACTGCACCCGGCTGATAAGGATGATTTTACCCCCACAGATTAGAAAGAAAAATCATCAGCTGAAAGAGTGAACAGCTTCTCTGTAGGTAAATCAAGATGAGTGTTGAGTATATGCAAGTGGGTAGATTTGTGTGTGTGTCTATATGTTTGTGAATATGTGTGTTAGTGTGTTTTTGAGGAGGGGGCAGATATAAGAGAGGGAAGACAAGAAAATTAATGAATCATAGCCCCTCCCGTATAAAAGACAATCTCAATACTTAGTATCTAAGCTCACAAAGGCTCTTGGTAGAAACTCGTTCCAGACTCCTGCTGAAAGCCAGCTCTAGCTAGTTGAATACCTAAATGTAAATAACAAAGGCAGTAAAAATATCAAAGCATGCCCAAATGCTGGAAATAAAAAGTATTTAAAGAAAGGAAACGTAAGACATTGAACGGTAAGACTTTAAAACCACCAAGGAAAGAAATGAGATGCAGCAGATTTATGGAATAATCTTTATTTAAAACATTGCATTATGTTGGAAAACAGGAAAAATTGGCTGTCTTTTTTTAAAGCAAGAGGAGTTCGTGTGCATATCTATTTATCGTTTTTTTCCAACATCCAGCATATTTCTTATGCTTATTCCAAAAATATATTGTATCTACTTATGGTAGCTCTTAACAAACTGCTGAGTTTCAGTGAGAAGAAACCTTGTTTGCAGTGGACTGTGGCATACAGAATTTTTTCTCACATTTTTTTTCTGTTTACTGTTGTTGTTTTTTATTTTTATTTTACTTTATTTTATTTTTGAGACGGAGTCTTGCTGTCACCCAGGCTGGAATGCAGTGGCTCAATCTCAGCTCACTGCAACCTCCGCCTCCCAGCTTCAAGTGATTCTCCTGCCTCAGCTTCCCAGGTAGCTGGGATTACAGGTACATACCACCATGGCTGGATAATTTTTGTATAGTAGAGATGGGGGTTTCACCATATTGTCAAGCCTGGTCTCAAAATTCTGACCTGAGGTGATCTGCCTGCCTAGGCCTCCCAGAGTGCTGGGATTACAGGTGTGAGTCACCATGCCCAGCCACTTTTCTGTTTTTTGAATTAGATCCCTACGGAAGAGACAAAGGGAATAGCATGGGCTAGGTCTGGCCAATCATAATAACGTACCTCATGGTTACATCATGGCTCTGACATTGGGCACGTACTCCAGGCAGGGCCATATATCTGAAATTAATATATAGACACTGGGGAAAAGAAAACTATTTCCTCCGAGATCCTGACCCAGGATGACATGGATCTAGATCCATCTCTCTTTGGCTACAAGGTGAAAATTGATGTGATTCCAGAGAGAGTAAGTTCAACACACACAAATTAAGAGAATCCAGAAATGAAGAGAAAGAAAGAAGAGAAACACAGAGAGAGAGAGGAAGATGGGCACTGAGATTATCATGCAATGTCCTTGACCAAACAAAGTCTGCATCGTGAAGCCAATAAGTTCCATTTTTGTTTTAGCTTGTTTCAAGCATATTTCTGTTGTTTACTGTCCCACAAGTTACTGGGATATAATTCTCCATGGGTTTCTTGTAGTCTGCACCTGTGAGGTACGGATAGCTCATAATTCTGGGTTATCTTTTCAATCATGTTCGTGTCATAAACGTGCTTAGAAGACAGAGAGAGTATCTTCCTTCAGATACACTTAATGTCCAGTATAATAAAGATAGTGTCTTGCTCAGGAGCAAAAGGCAGGCATGCTCACTGCCCGTTATAAATGATTCGAGTTTTCTAAGTTCAGGATTTCTCTCCTGCAATGCAAACTTCTGTGGGTACAGGTGTGATCTGGTTCATTTTCTGTCTCTCTGCAGGAATTGGGGCTCAGGGAAACCACACTAAACCGTGGATACTCCACTAAGTTTAATTGCTCTGAATAACACAGTGTTCTTGTCTCTGACCAAGAGTTTCGTGTCTCCTCCCAGCACCCATGAAACTATGACAAGATAACTTGTCTTGTGAGCTTGCAGTTCTTGACACTAATATGTTCCTCTAGGTAGAAAGTAGAATCTTAGAGTGGAGAGAAAAGAACCCCACACAATTTGGAAACGTGAAATCAATGTGTATATAGCTGTAAATTTAGGGAAAAAATATTTTTTTCAATATAAATAAACTTTTTATTGTCTGCTAGATAAAGATAAAGTAAAAATCTTGGCACATAGTTTCAGGGAAAATATATAATGACTCAATATTTAGGCCATGGTACATATAATTTAAAGAGACTGTGTCATTATATAGGGTAAAACACATTTTTTTTTAAAGTTTACCTAAAGAAGGTGAGTTTTAAAATATTTGAGATATAGACAGTTGAGTTTTCCAGAAAGGAAATTTGGAAATGATAGATCAGTTAGTAATTAGAATGTCATGTTCCTTGAGCAACTTTAATAGATAAATTTGGTTAAAATGTCTTTGATTCATCCAACTTATATTACAAATTCCAATCATGTATGGAACAAACATTAATTACACTGAACCAGTGTATCCAGGACTTCTTTAGACAAAAAGCAGACTGGTGAAAAGCCAGACAATATTCCTACCCTATATGTGCTGGTAAATGTTTAACAACTGGCTCTCTCAGAGAAAATGTATGGCTAAATAACATTTCCATTGATTTTTTTCCAAAATTGTGCATCTGTAGTCAACCTGGGGTTGCAGTTGGCAAAGGCATATAGGATTGTAATTTCTATGCAATGCTGACTGATACTGTCAGGTATGTTAAAGAATAAAATAGAACTGTGGCTGGGCACGGTGGCTCATGCCTATAATCCCAGCACTTTGGGAGGCCGAGGTGGGCAGATGACTTGAGGTCAGGAGTTTGACACCAGCCTGGCCAACATGGTGAAACCCCATCACTAACTAAAAATACAAAAAAATTAGCAAGGTGTGGTGGCGTGTGCCTGTAGTCCCAGGTACTCAGGAGGCTGAGGTGGAAGGATCACTTGGACCCAAGAGGCGGAGGTTGCAGTGAGCCGAGATTGTGTGACTGCATTCCAGCCTGGGCAACAGAGTGAGACTCCATCGAAAGAAAGACAGACGAAAGAAAGAGAAAGAGAGAAAAAGAGAAAGAAAGAAAAAAGGAAGGAAGGAAGGAGAGGGAGAGAAAGAAAGAAAGAGAGAAAGAAAGAGGGAAATAAAGAAACAAAGAAAGAAAAAGGAAGGAAGAAAGGAAAGAGAAAGAAAGAGAGAAAAGAAAGAAAGAGAAAGAAACAGGGAGGGAGGGAGGGAGGGAGGGAGGAAGGAAGGAAAGAAGGAGGGAAGGGAAGGGAAGGAATGATGACTTACAATACAACTTTGTCAATGACATAACCCGTCTTCATTCTACAGGATGTCGTGGCTGGTTTTGAGTAGATTAAGGGGTACTCAGATCGTTCATTCTGCAGGATGTGGTGGCTGGTTTTGATGGGATTAAGGGGTACTCAGATCGTTCATTCTGCAGGATGTGGTGGCTGGTTTTGATGGGATTAAGGGGTACTCAGATCGTTCATTCTGCAGGATGTGGTGGCTGGTTTTGATGGGATTAAGGGGTACTCAGATCGTTCATTCTGCAGGATGCGGTGGCTGGTTTTGATGGGATTAAGGGGTACTCAGATCGTTCATTCTGCAGGATGTGGTGGCTGGTTTTGATGGGATTAAGGGGTACTCAGATCGTTCATTCTGCATGATGTGATGGCTGGTTTTGATGGGATTAAGAGGTACTCAGATGGCTGGTAGAGCTCATCTCAGTGGTTCAGTAATTACTGAGCCCATCCTCCTTCTGCTGAGTGGGAGCCCAGGTGGTTTGGCATTTGGTTAGAATGGTTGGGTTGCCCTAGGTCTGTTTGTCTGCAGATGTTTCCAGAAGAGACTGGCCTGTGAGTGGGTGGGCTGAGAAGGGAAGACCCACCCTCCGTGTGAAAAGGCACCATCCAATCAGCTGGGGTCCAGATGAAACAAAAAGAGTAGAGGGACAGAAAATTGTTCTCTCTTCTGGAGTAAGGGCAGCCCTCGGGCATCGGAACTTCAAGTCCTGTGACCTTTGGAATTCAGAACTTACATGAGAGGCCTTGCAGACTCCCAGGACTTTGACCCGAACTGAGAGTTATCACCTTGGTTTCCTTGGTGCTGAGGCCTTTGGACTTGAACCGAGCCATACCAGCAGCTTCCCTGGGTTTACGCCTTGCAGACGGCCTGTCCTGGGACTTCTCACCCTCCATAATCGAGTCAGCCAATCCTCGAATCAATCCCTGCCCATCTCTCTCTGTTGCTCTCCGTCTCTCTGCAGAACCCTGATTAAAGCTAATGATGTTTGAACACTGGAAAAACATTGCTTCCATTTTTTAAATATTTTTCACAATGTACACACTATAAACGTGACATATTTTAAATCTATTTAACATTTTTTCATGACTCTTCTAATTCTAGTCAAACAACAAAACAATAAAGCCCTGACTGTGGTATTTGCTGATTTCTGTCATTTCCGTGCTGTTGATCTTCACGCCATGGCCAGGGTCAAGCCATGCACGTGACTTCACTGACCGCAAAACTGGGAAGAGGCTGTGCAGAAGGAAGAGCCTTGCACGGTGCTTCCTTCCATCCGACAGATGCCGTCGGCATCAATGGGCTCAAACACATCGATGATAGCAACGTAATCAGGAAGACATGAATTCTGAGTACTTGTTTTATTTGTTTTTCATATAGTTTATGTAGTTTTTCATTTATATAATTTTTTTTCTTTTTCTTTTTCTGTCTTTCTTTTTTTTTTTTTTTTTTTTTTTTTGAGACGCAGTTTCACTCTTGTTGCCCAGGCTGGACTGCCATGGTGCGTTCTCGGCTCACTGCAACCTCCGCCTCCCGGGTTCAAGTGTTTCTCCTACCTCTGCCTCCAGAGTAGCTGGGATTACAGGCGCATGCCACCACGCCCGGCTAATTTTTGTGATATAATTTTTAATGATGATTGTGCTTAACAACTGTTTCACAAAATTCCTGCAAATCAGTCAGCTCTTTCTGTTTGAGAGAGTAAACTTGAGCCTGGTCCAGTGCATCCTGGCCCCAAGCCCCAGGAGCTCAGATTCTCTTGGGAAGACATAGGAATAGAAAATAAACACATGCGTTTTTTAAATAAGAAAAGTTTATTTTCACATTTGACATAAAGAAAATTGGCTGGGATAATAGATGCCTCTTTACATCTGATGATGAGACAAAAAAAAGCCACCTAACAAGAGGGTATTTAGTCCTATACCTTGTGAGTGAGAAGTTTGTCCACCTCCAAGGGAAGCTCCGTTACAAGGTGTCTGAGAAGTCATAAGAAGTGGGAAGTTGCCAGATATCTTTTTATGTGTTTGAATACTCAAAACAAATGGCTGTGCTGAAGATTCACGAGCACTGTATGGGATAGGAAACGGGAGAAAGGCAAGTGGTGGGGTGGAGGGTCACTCAGAACCAAGCCATCAAAATGACAACAAAAGCCAAATCATATTTAGAGTTCTCTAAGCTCAAGTTCCTGCTTCAGTTGGTTTGGAAGCATTAAGTCATTCATTCCTTACAAGAATCTTATGGAATTGTACTATTGCTAACCCAATTACATAATCAAAAAATGGGGCAGAATGTTGTCAACTCTGAGGCTATGGCAGCCCTGCTGCCTGGCTAGGTTTGTCTCTTTGTCTGGGGTGTGTATTGAGCAAGGTAAAATGGTAAAGCTATGTTTTGTGGAACAGCAAACCAATCTTGAAGGATTAGATGTGGAGGGAGGGTTAAAGGAAGGCTAGCACAAAGTTTAAGCTAACAGCTGTAAAAACAAATACAAAGATCTCAACATCCATGATTTATATAGTTTCTTTACTTGCTGTGTGTTTGTGGTAGAGCAGGGGGTGTTAGTTTGGTAAAATTATTCCCTGAAACAAGTTAGATGGGGATCTCCCTTAGGTCAGTCATTTTTTAATTTAATTAATTTTATTTTATTTTATTTTGAGACAGAGTCTCGCTCTGTTGTCCAGGCTGGAGTGCAGTGGCACGATCTCGGCTCACTGCAAGCTCCGCCTCCCAGGTTCACACCATTCTCCTGCCTCAGCCTCCACAGTAACTGGGACTACAGGCACCTGCCACCGTGCCTAATTTTTTGTACTTTTAGTAGAGACGGGGTTTCACTGTGTTAGCCAGGATGTTCTCTATCTCCTGACCTTGTGATCCACCCGCCTTAGCCTCCCAAAGTGCTGGGATTACAGGTGTGAGTCACCACACTCAATCACCAGCAGGTCAATCATTTATTTGAAAAAACAAACAAACAAACAAACAAACAATTGTCCACCCACCCCGTCCTCCAAAAAAGAAAAATCCAAATCAAATGTGTAGGGAAACTATAAAGAGATATTTTTTTTTGCAGTTGAAATCCCTAGTAAATTTCCTTTTTAAAAAAAATTCATTGAAAGAAAGTGTGGACAATAATAAATCATTCAAAGCCAGACTGAACTGAATTAACCTTGTTCATAACCTTAGCCTCTCTTTAGCGATGTTAACTTTTTCATTCCTTTAGCGAAAGAAGGGAAGCCTTCAAGCAGATACGATCTTTTAGAAAAACTCATTGAAAAGTGAATTTATAACAAGGAAAATGCTTGGAAGTTTTCCGTTTGAAGATGCTCTTTATTTCTGGCGTGCAGTTTTTATGAGACGAATGGTCTTAAAAGGTTAAATCCAGCCAACGACAGTTACTTTAATCTGCAAATCAGATCAGTAAATTGGGTTTCTTCTCTTTGCCTTATCTTTCAACGGAATTTGTGTTAAAAAATGAACCATCTGTTACCATTTGCTTTGTTAGAGGGAGTTTAACATATAAAAGGGATTGCAGTTATAAGATATAAAAGAAACCAACTGGATCCTACTGACTGCTGGGCCACACCGGGCTGGTGAGGGCTCCATCCTGATCTTATCTGGGGAACGCATTCCTGAGCCATAGCCTCAATGAGGACTGCTAGGTCCCTCTCTAGGAAACTGGGCCTCCCTCCTGTCGCAGACAGGAGAGGTATAAAGAAACGTTTTGGAATCAGTTAACCTTTGTTTGGAAGCCTCCTGCGCTACATTTCAGATGTGTGACTTTGCAACTTATTTTTCCTTCCTGCCATTTGGTTTGCTTTTGTGTTAAGCGGAGACGTAACATTCACCGTCATGGCATTGTGAGGACTCCGTGAGAAGGCTGGTGCAGTAATCAGCACACTCTGAGTCAGCAACAAAAGCACAGTCATCAGACAGTCATCCGCGATGGCAGCTTGTCAGCTGATCTAACACGGAGATCCGGGGGAAGACTCAGTTTTGAAATAGATGTGTTCAGAGGAGAAATGATGTTAACAGACATTTCTAGGGTTTGTGGGTTGTTTGTTTTCATTTAGTTTCATGAGAAAGATATATTAACAATCACGTCCATTTAATTGTTGATCCTTATGGTTTGACTTTTTTTTTAAATAATGTTTCTTCCACAAAATAGTCTTCGTCATTTAGTTGGTTTGCTTTGTTTCTTGACCTCCTGAGATCAAGGCCTCTCTAACTCCGATGTGTCCCTGCCTCAGCTGGACAGCTTGTTACAGGGCAGCTCAGGCCAGGTGAGGTGGAAGGGGACGCCTGAGCATCTGCGTTCCTAGCCATCTCCCAGCTGACGACCCTGCAGCCCGGCGGGACCTGTCCTCCTGCACATAGACTCCCATGTCTAAGAAGGTCAGGAAAGAGTATTTCTGGCAGGGCGCGATGGCTCACGTCTGTAATCCTAGCACTTTGGGAAGCCGAGACAGGCAGATCACTCAGGCCAGCCTGGCCAACATGGTGAAACCCCATCTCTACTAAAAATATAAAAATTAGCCAGGCATGGTGGCATGCGCCTGTAATCGCAGCTACTCGGGAGGCTGAGGTAGGAGAATTGCTTGAACCTGGCAGGCGGAGGTTGCAGTGAGCCAAGATCATGTCACTGCACTCCAGCCTGGGTGACAGAGCAAGACTCCATCTCAAAAAAAAAAAAAAAAAAAAAAAAAAGAGTATTTCCAGGTCATATTGAACTGTCAGTTTCCACCTGTTAAGTTTAGCCTGAAGCTGCCTTCTTACACATTTTAAGTTCGGCCTAAAGTTTCTCTTTCTCTGGCGTGGGTCAGAGGCAAGGCAGAGGAGAGTCATCGACCTCGGGTGTTCTGCAACTTTGCAATGCCCTTTTAGAGCACTGTCATGGAATCCTGAACATTCAGAGAAAGAGACTTGTGCGTTTTGTTTCATAGTTTCCCTCCTGACTTTAAATAGTCCGGAAACAACTCCACCCAGGATTAAAGTTTCTATCTCACTATCTTAAGCATTAGAATACATCGATTTGACTTTTATAGATCATTTTACCAATTATGCACATGATTTATTTAACAATGCTAAACACAGTATTATTTCACAGCTAAGGGCTTTTGTTTTTAGGAATCAAGTGAGAATCTCTGAAATAGAAAGTGAGATTTTCATCGAAAGTTTGGAACCTCATTGGAAACAGAGTCTTCCATAATCTGAGCAGGTAGTGTGATCTTTCACACATCATTCCTTCAAGGGCTCTGAGGCCACATCTTGGTGGGCTATTGTCTCAGAAAATTCATGCCCCTCTGCCGAGGCTGAGTCCACGTGGAGTTAAATGAAATGCAGTGTATGACTGTATCCTGTTAGGTAAAAATGACATGTCATAATCACAGCAAGCCTCGCAGGCCATGGTACTGCATGATGCCACCCGTCCAGAGGTGCGAATAGGCTTTCAGCATCGTGACGTCCTGGGTGGAACTTCCATTAAAGTTAGCATGATGAACAGAGCCCTGCGCAGCTCTAATTGGGGAGCTCACAATAGTGACTTTTGTGCTCATGTTTTCTCTAGAATATCCAATATGGACTCGCCAGAGAAATAACCGTATTCTTCCCCTGAAAGACGAACTTTAGTGGCAGACTTGGAGCTTAGGTGATAGTGCTAAATATTGTTTATACAATCAAAATTTACTCTTGTCTTTCCCCCAAATTCAGTTTCTGCTCATTACCTTTATCTTGCCTTAGAAATCTATTCTTAAAAGCAGTAACTATGCAAGTTACTAAAGATAATTCTGTCCCTCAAACTATATTGTGGACTTGCGAATCAAGGCAGAAGGTCAAAAATATTATACTACTATATATATATTTTTATTGCAGTAAGATTATTGTTATGGCCATATTGTTCGGATTGTTGCCTGTCCTAAAGAAAATAATACATTATAATGATAAATATATAAATATAATATAAATACGTACATACAGGTAGCGATTGCTAAATAGATATTTTGTACTATTTGCTGTAGTGAAGGGATCACAAAACAGAAGGAAGCCAATTTGTATGTTCTCCAATTCTAATGATGTGACTTTAGACATTTGAAAAATGCCTCTCTGGGCCTTATTTACCTTATCAATAAAGGGATTAGATTTGTTCACGTGAGAGTGTTGGAAAGCATTCTCTTTGAACACCAGCCCTATGGGGTATTCTCAACATAAAGAATGACATTGTCTTCTCCATTTGGGCATTGCTGCAAATTACATCCCCCGCATGGAAAGGTACACGCCTGTTGAGGCAGTGAAGACTCTTCTCCATTTGGGCATTGCTGGAAATTACATCCCCTGCATGGAAAGGTACATGCCTGTTGAGGCAGTGAAGACTCTTCTCCATTTGGGGATTGCTGGAAATTACATCCCCCGCATGGAAAGGTACACGCCTGTTGAGGCAGTGAAGACTCTTCTCCATTTGGGGATTGCTGCAAATTACATCCCCCGCATGGAAAGGTACACGCCTGTTGAGGCAGTGAAGACGCTGCAAATTCCTAAGGTTGAAAAAATCCAACCAATTTATTATTTTACTTTTTGTTTATGATTAAGAATTATTTCTAAGCAATAACTGTTACTTTTCTTCAGGAATGATTGTACAGCACTAGATTAGATGATTCCTACTCTCTTGAAACCCAGCACCTGGAAACAACCTCAAATCATACCCACTTCTGGGGACTTAAATATTATTTTCGTGGGTTAATAATTTTTTTAAAAAAAGTTGATTTTGGCCGGGTGCGGTGGCTCACGCCTGTAATCCCAGCACTTTGGGAGGCCGAGGCGGGCGGATCACGAGGTCAGGAGATCGAGACCATCCCGGCTAAAACGGTGAAACCCCGTCTCTACTAAAAATACAAAAAATTAGCCGGGCGTGGTGGCGGGCGCCTGTAGTCCCAGCTACTTGGGAGGCTGAGGCAGGAGAATGGCGTGAACCCGGGAGGCGGAGCTTGCAGTGAGCCGAGATCCCGCCACTGCACTCCAGCCTGGGCGACAGAGCGAGACTCCGTCTCAAAAAAAAAAAAAAAGTTGATTTTGCAGGATATATATTTTCTTATAAAAATGTATTAACACTAATTATAGAATATAATTGTATTTCACATATTGGATGTTCATTTTCTCCAGCTTTTGTCTTGTTTCTTAAGAACAAGAGAAATATAAAGAACATGCATACGTGTTTAAAACTTAACGAAGACCATGCACTCATACTAAAAGGCAATATTTTTGCCACTCTAAGGCATAGGCCAATTGGCTTAGAATTATATGTAAATTTAGACCCCTTGTTATACGTATAACCTGTATATATGTAATATATATATATACACACACACCTATATGTATACACACAGCACACACACTCTCACACACACATATATATGATGTGTAACCAAAGGGAAGGAGTTTCTTCTAGGAGAGCAGGTAATTAATTCAAAAAATAAAAGAGTATCTGTGTGCCAGGAACTGTGTAAAATGTTAAAAAAATGCAAACCCATGATCTTTCTCTCAAGAGCCCAATCAGATGCTTTAAAACAGTGTCTAGAAGGAGACTGGGGGAAAACAACTCCCTGAGAATTGACAACCGATGAGCCAAACAGCCAACAGGACCACAGGAAGCCCCTGAACTCTGAATGCAAGTCCAGCTGCCCCTCATGAGTCCACCCCACAATCTTGGCGAGTGGAAGTGAAAGTTATCCGCATTTTAACCACATTTCCATCTCAAGTTGTTGTTTTAAAAGATTTCAAAAATCCTTACGGAAAAGGGTCACATTCAATTTTCCAGATACTATCTAGATGCTGGGCCAATCGCAACAGCTGATGACGAACGCACGAGGCCCCAGTGGCAGGTGCTGTCCCCAGCAGCAGGCCCCGTGCACAACACTTGCCCTGCATCCCCACACAGTTCTGTGCTAGTTACTTCTTGCCAAAAGTGCCACATTCATGTTATTTTTGAAATGCTCTAAGTTTAGAATTTTAAGGGGAAAAGACCAGAATGCAGAATGAACACACTGCACTTGTTCATACCTCCATCCAATAGGAAGAAAAACCACCTTAAAGCAGATGGAAGAATTATTTTGTCCTGTTTTCGCTTCATTTTAGCTGTTTATCCTGATTATTTCCAGAGCATGATGATTAAATAATTCCTCTTTGTTCCCAATGGCGAAGGTGCTTTCTCAAATCCAGGAGAACATATCAATTTTGCTCACATCTGAAATTGCATTTAAAACGGTGAAATCAGGAAAAGAAATCCAAAACACACTTTTAATTATGATAAATCTACTCTACCAATTAAGAATTACATCTGGCAAATCATAATGGAAACCCCTGCTGAGTGGCTAAAACAAAATGATGGTTTATCATTTCAGTTTATTATACGAAGTTGAAAGGAGATAGTTCAAGACCATGGCCATCATGAAAGGCCTGTTTGATGACATGACATTTGAGCAAAACTTGAATGAGGTGAGCCAGCCATGTGGCTATGTAGGGGCAGGCTTTTTTGAGTGGATGGAACAGCAAAATAAACCTGAGGTCAGATCATATTTTGGGTTTTTGAGGAAGAGCAAGGAGGCAGGAGTGGAAAAGCAGAGGGAAGAATGACCGGGTTGCCCAGAAAAGTTGGGTTCAGAGAGAAAGTCGGGGGCAGATGATGTGATGTCTTGTAAGTCATGGAGATAGTCTTGGGTTTTACTCCAAATGTAATGGAAACTCATTTGAGAGTTTTGAACAGAGCAGTGATGGAATCAGATTTACATTTTTAATACACGGATTTGGCTGCTATAGAAAGAAAAGACCATAAAGGGTAGAGTGACGGCAGCAAGACTCATGGAGGCAACTGCATTCCTTCAGATGGGAGATGATGCCCTGATGTGAGGCTGGGGCTGATGAGAACGAGAGCAAGAAGTAGGTTTTTGCCTGAGCAGCTTGGAGAATGGAGCTGCCATTTATGAAGTTTTAACAGACTGGGAGTGCTACCGGTTTGGGGAGAAATATTAATTAGAATGGGTTTTGCTGAAAATGAAAGAATATTAGGACTTGTGCAAACAGGCTATTCCCATTGAGAAGTTCTGGCATCATGAGCACATACAAGTGGTAGACAAAGGGAAGGGGTATGAAGTATGCGTGAAGGCCGCCTCTCTGTGCGAACGTGTGGTTGGATCTCTTTGCAAACTTTGCCTACAAAAGATAAAGAAATCCAGAGGAAAGCAGGGGGCAACAGCCTGGAGAACCAGTGCCAGGAAGAGCCTAGGGTGAGGCATCCGTCACATATCTAAGTGAGAGTGACAGTGTGCTGAGGAGTTCTGTGGTTCAAGGTTCAAGGGAGTGACAAGAACTAGATACGGAAATTCAGGAGTCATCCAACTATCCAACTAGGTGTGGGTTTTTTTGTTTTGTTTTGTTTTTCCTTTTTGAGATGGAGTTTTGCTCTTGTCGCCTAGGCTGGAGTGCAATGCCCTGATCTTGGCTCACTGCAACCTCTGCCTCTCAAGTTCAAGTGATTCTCCCACCTCAGCCTCCGGAGTAGCTGGGATTACAGGCACCGGCCACCACGCCCAGCTAATTTTTGTAGGTTTAGTAGAGATGGGGTTTTGCCATGTTGGCCAGGCTGGTCTCAAATTCCTGACCTCAGGTGATCAGCCTGCCTCGGCCTCCCAAAGTGTTGGGATTACAGGCGTGAGCCACCACTCCCGGTCAAGGTATGGTTTTTAAGCCATGGAATTGGATGAAAACACTCAGGGAATGAGAATAGATAAAGAAGGGAAGAAAAATGTGTGAGAGCCTAGCTTTGGGGGATACCATAATCTAGAATTGTTTATAAACACATTTTCTGTATATCCATCTCTTATTTTTATAGATTTTTGTGCTTGCTTTTGTTTTTATAACGAAATATTTCATGCAGCTGGAATATGTTCCCCCAGCTTCATTTTTCCACGTGGCTAGTCAACAGCTCTTCATTATTTACTTAATATTCCAGATTATGAACTCTTTAATTGCTACCTTCATCATCTGCTAGAATTTCACTTTTGCTAGGGTTTATTCTAGAACTTCAAAATATGTCCTACTAATTTATCTATGCCCGACCCTCGCTACTGTTTTTTATTCATTGCTGGGATATGCTGCATTTAGTATTCATATTAACAGAAATTATTAACCACTATTAACATAAATTATTAACCACTATTAACATACATTATTAACCTCTAAAACAAATTAATCAACTTACTTTTACATCCCTTCTTTCAGAATTATTGTCATTTTTCTGCTGGTCTTATATGTGTATTCTACTAGATAAATTAGGGAAGCATTTTGTAAAGTTTTCCACAAACAAAATGACCTTTTATAATTTGGAATACAAGCGTGATGCTATCAAATAATCTTATATGTTTCTGTGATGTTTCCTTTAAAATATCCTCTACGTAATATGATTTAAAAGAATGAAGGTATGCAAAGCAATTCCAGGACGTAACGAGTTGCAGTAAGGACTGCAGATATCATAGTTGGTGTCTGTTGGCAGAACAAGATTCTATCCAGAACCACACATCGTCGAAATATGATAAAGTCTTTCTTGAGCTGCATTTTTTGAAGTGATAAATGACATGGTGCCCGCACGTCATGTCCACAGTCCCCGAAACATCAGTCCCACCATGGAACCGTGTCAGTACGTGCACATACATTATATTTCAACTTTAAAAATGACCTTAACTCGTGAGCTACAAATCCTCCGCACACTGTGTGGATACAAAGTACTAACTGAATCACCAGGGGTAGGGAATAAATTACAGACTGCAGAGCACAGGAGCATGTTTCTTTCCAGTGTCTTTTTCTTTATTTTGTAAAGGGCTTTGTTGAGAAAAGAGAATGGTTCTGTAATATTAAAGGAAAAAAAAACCAGATTCCTGACAGGTAAAAGAAGAAACATCAGAGGTTTTCGTTTGTTTTTGTTTTGTATACTTTTGTTTCTTCTTGCCTGCATAACTTATATAGAATATATTTGGTCAATAGAAATCAGTCGGTTTTCCCAATTTGATTATAATAGATTATATATGTAAAACACTGAGAATGCGTGTGGACGTTAAGGACAGCTCTACCTATTGGGTTAACCCTGGGATTGGCCTTTAAACTTTCTGGACCTCAGTTTGTTTTGCATTCACTTTAATAATTTACTTTCTTTTTATTTTCTTCTTCTTTTTTTTATTGAGACAGAGTATTGCTCTGTCATCCAGCCTGGCTGGAGTGCAGCGGCGTGATCTTGGCTCAGTAAATCCTCTGCCTTCCGGGTTCAAGTAATTCTCCCACCTCAGCCTCCTGAGTAGCTGGAATTGCAGGTGCATGCCACCACATCCAGCTCATTTTTTTTTATTTTTAGTAGATAAGGGGTTTTGCCATGTTGGTCAGGCTGGTCTTGAACTCATGACCTCAAATGATCTGGCTGCCTCAGCCTCCCAAAGTTATCAATTTATTTTCAAATCATGTGGGCTAAATGATTAGCATGCTACATGCTCCAATTCTAAAAACATGAGCTGGTTCCCTGGCATAATTTGCTGAGGGAAACATCTGCGTTTCACTCTCTGTGTACTCAGAATTAACTCTCCATCAATGGAAAGCATGTACTACAGTTTTCAGTGATGTTTTAGGTGAGCTTGGAGTAGAAATGGCAAAGGAAAGAGCCTGGGAATAGACCGCTGGTGGGGGAGTCTTTTCTCCCACATTCTGCTCTGCTAAAATCATTAGGACCATCAGCTCATCTCAGGAGACACCCGCGAGACAGCCAGGACCCCACATCTGAGCTAGCCAGGAACCCACATCCGAGACAGCCAGGTCCCCACTTCCAAGACATCCAGGACCCCACGTCTGAGACCGCCATGACCCCACCTCTGACACCACCTCCAAGAAATCCAGGGCCCCACCTCGGAGACAGCCAGGGCCCCACCCCCGAGACAGCCAGGACCCCACCTCAGAGACAGCCAGGACCCCACCTCAGAGACAGCCAGGGCCCCAACTCCGAGGGGCAGCGCTGACCCTGGGGTCAGCTGAGGGTGGCTTCTTCCTCATGAAACAGTAGGACAATTTCTGGGTTCTTCACCGCCGGATTTCCAAACCCCAATACAGGCATTCATCATGCAATAGGCCTCGTAAATATTTGTCAATTTTATTTTAAAGGAGAAAATAAAATGTACTGATTGTGTTCACTCCTTGAATGGATATTAAATAATTGCTTGAGAGGCCTCAAAAGTGAGATTATTCAATTATTTTGTCCAACCAATGCATATTATTTTCTCTTTATATGTTAGGTACATCTACATATATACGTATATATAGGTGTGTGTATATATATGTGTGCGTATATATATACACACATATGTATATAAAATAAAATACATATTCATTTAATACATATATACACATACATATATTAAATAAAATATATACGCATATATACACACATAAAATAAAATACATATTCATTTAATACATATATGTATATACACATACATATGTTAAATAAAATATATACGCATATATACACACACACAAACATATATATATAAAATTTTAGATTATTCAATTATTCTGTCCAACCAAGTAGTCTTCTGTCTTTTTAAAAATTAACTAGGTTTTGTCTATGACACACCAACCCAGTGACATGGAAATGGAGGACAAGCACAAATAAATACAAGGTTGTATTTCAAAAGAACTTACAGTCTAAAGAGGAGTGGGAAGCAGATCAACAGGCAGGTTCGCAGGGCGGGTAAAGACTCTGCCAGGGTTATAACCATCTTTCTCTTGGAGTCCAGAGACGTGAGCAGCCCGTGTGTGGTTTTCTTGAAGATGAACGTGAGTTTATAGACACGGTTATTCAGAAAACCACCAGGATTCTTTGTAATGAGTGCATTAAAAACCTATACTGTTCTGAAGAGGCATTTCAGCAGCCACTGCAGAATGCCAGAACCCAGAAGACAAAGAACTCTACTCTGCCAGACAGCCGCGAACACTGGTAACTAGAAAACGGAACTTCGATAAAGAATGACACGTTTGATGCTATGCCCAGGTGAATTCAGTTGCTTCGAGAAGACTCAGCTTCACAGCCTGGACCTCCAAAATATGTCCTTAGTGCTTCGCAGTCCTTCTTGAATCTGAGCTTCTAGAGCTTGTTTCGATGGCTTTGGCACTTTCCTGTATATTTGGTGAACTGGAAACAAAATGATCTGTACTAGTTTAAACTGAAACTCAACATAAGCTGCCTGCCACTTAGGAATCGTGAAATGCGAACTACTCTATTGGGTCACGTGTAGTTGTAAGCTTTGGCTGTTCACTTAAGTTCTTTAAAGCTGTGGATTTTTCACTTTTCCATTATTCTTATTGGATAGGATGAGTGTTTTCCAAACTGTTCTATGGAGCTTCAGGGGCTCTTCAGAGGACCTGAGGTCTTCCCCGGGGAACGATTTCTGAGAAGGATTTCAACTCCTCTTATCTGGCTCTTCCATGCACAGATTAGCTGAGTTTTTAATCTATTTTTTCTATGATACCTTCCTGTGTAATCCAAATGTTGCTGCACCTGCTTTCCTGTCTTAAAGTGTGGATTTTTGCTGAATTCCAAGGGCCATCTGAATGCTTTATCTCGCTGCCTCGCTGCAAGGTCCTCTGTTGTTCTCCAGGACTGCAAGTCTCTGCTCTTTTCCCTCTAACAGCCACAGGTGATTCTGAGGTTTAGTGTTATCTAAGATTCCCGTGTGTCATTCTTCTCAGGATCCGAAGCCAAGCTGGACAGAAAAGGCATTTGGTCTTTCCTTTAACACCTTGTTTTTGTTGTAAGTCTTGCAAAATACAAGACTGTGGCCACTAATGGTTACACCCAATTTCTAACTCAAGAAACAGTTAACCTTAAAAAAACAAACAAATAGAAACTATACTATAATTCAGGCAAAGTTCTGAATACTCATGACCTCATCCTTTCCCTCAGGAAATCTTCGTGGAATTTTGTACAAGGTGATTTTACTCAATGCCTTCCTCTGTCATGAAAAGAAAGAGGTACCCCGGGCCTCAGCCATATCAGCGTCTTTGTCCTCATCCACATACTTCATACCCTTTAAGTAGAGAATGCGTAAGGAGGGAAGTGGGCATCTAACAATTGTTTTATCTTCCCCTTGTAGGAAGTGCAGAAATCCCACCTCCTATCCTGGGTGCATAATTCCGTATTGTTAGATGCAAGTGACAGAAGCCTGATTTTAAAAAGATTGAGCTAAAATACAGGAAAGTACCATCATGAATAGGAAAGGATAAATCATTCCTAAAGATTAGCTTGCTCAAGGTCATTTAGACCCTGTCTTCGTGTCTTTCTTTTTTCTTCTGCTTTCTTATACCCCTACACACACAGACACACACACACACATATCACAACACAACACACATAGAGCACTGTTTTTAATCAATGTTCCCATGCTGGAAAACTTCCTTGCTAGAACCAAACATTGCTTTCCATAAATGAAGGGCAAGCTCAGATCAAAGAAAGAGGCAGACCACTCTAGGCTGGTGGGGAGTCAAAGGTTTATTTGGGGGAACTTACACACCGGGTAGTCTTAGGTGGCAGCAAGGCAAGGTGGATCTCTGTTTCTTTTGGTTGAAACATAAAGTCACTAATGGCATGTCAGGCCACCTGGTTGCTTTCTCAAACCGTTTACATTCTGCTTAAAGGCCTCGTTGGGCTTCTCTACAATGTGGTCAACGTTCCCAAGGGGTTGGGAGTGATGTTACCAGCAGCAGCAGTTGTCTTGGCATCTAGGTATGGTATGCTTTCTCTGACCACTGGGTCCAGTAACTCACCTTGTGCTACGTGCAACCTACATTCACAACACCCCAACTTCTCCAAGTGGTGGGGTCGGAGCTCACAGCCTCGGAGCCTGAACTCCAAAGGAGATTATCATCCCTGATTTATCTTTCCTCCAAATTTGACTACAAAAGTTGAAAAAGCTACATTTTTTTTGGCTTGGTTTAGGTGACAACCCCAACTCTATAGGGTATGGGATTGATAACTGCAGTTGATAGACCCACAAGAAGCAGATACAGGTGTGGGAAAGTATCCTTTTCTTAATGAAATGAAAAGGGGGAAATGAAAGTGCAAAGTGGTTGGAAAAGTTAATACAACAGATGTGCGCTAAACTTGGTCATCTATTAAGCAACCATACAACTCAAGATACTTTGTTTTGTCACAGATAACAAATAAAACTCGTACTGAAGAATAGATCCCCTATCAGCATGCAATACATTAATATGTTGCCCTTCGAGATACAATGGGTGCCTCATACTCTGTTGAAAAGCATTGTCTTCATTCTCTCTCAGCCAGAAGAAAGTTCATATCTTATACTCCTACACACACACACAAATGCACACATCCCAACACAACACAACAAACGCGTAGCACTGTTTTTCAGGGGCTACTGTCATTATTCATCAGGGGAACCCCAAAAGGATCTTAAAATCTTCTGAGAAAAGCTGGGGTGCAGTAGATGTACGCACACGAAGAGGACAGTAGCCAGTTTCTCCCATCATGTTTGTAAGATTTAATTTTATTTAAAGGATTTTGCTATACTACCAGTGTTTGATTATTATTGAATTAGATGGCCTCTCATTTTTCTTTTAGATATGAATTTTTGTTCAATAATAATTCTTCAAAATAAAGCAATACTCATGAATATTGATAATATTTTATTTCAGTATAACATCTTGGGATCCATCACATTAAAAAGATCATAGATGCCAATCAATTATAGTTAAGTTACATTTAAGTGTACTTATAATAATTCATCATCTTGCTTCTCTTGTGGATACAGAATGAAAGAGGAGTGATTTGCATGTGTAAATGACTTTCGTCTACAGAACAGCTATATAACATGTCGTCAAAAATGTTAAAGATTCATAGGGAAGATAACAAATATCTACGTACCTCGTTGATAGACTGCCAGGTGCCAAGGCATTATTACTAGAGAAAGATTTTCATTTTCATTAGATTAAGCATGCATAGCAAGTAGACTTAAACAATTGATTGAAATCAGAAAATGTCAAAGCTGTATTTAGAAAATTGAGTTCTTTTAAAGCAGTATTAAGTCAAGGAAAAATCACAGACAAAATGGAGTGGTAGTATATCTCTACATTTAATTGGAAATTTTACATATGGTAACAGCTACTGTTAAATTATCCATGGCTAATTCATCTTAAACTGAAGTAGACAATTAAGCATGTTCTGGACTATTAACTGGTTCATATTTTAGGTGCTTGCCTAATTAGACATTTCCTAAACTAATCATTTGCACTGGCTAATTTTTTAGAACATTTTATTGAGAATTTGTAGCTTTTTTTGCATTTACTGTTTTTGAAGTTATTTTTTTAAGAACATTGACTTGAAGATACATAATCTACTGTAAACGTTGCAGTGAACTTTTATTCTAACCCTATAAATAAATAGATCATACCATACAGAAATAGGATGTTCAATTTTTTGAAACATGTTGGATGTCTTGACATATGTCACATAATACATATACATATACCCGCACACAACATATAGTCTTATATGTACACATGCATATATTACATAGATACATACATATATGCATAAATACATACACACATATATAATTTTTTAAAAGGCACATTATAAGTTTTGCTGTTTATGTAGAAATGTAGAGCTAAAAAAAAATAAGCTTTATATTTTTAGGTACTGTGAATCAAATTTAAATGGATAATGACTATGAAACTCTGAACCCTTTAATTCTCCAAGTGCTTATATTTAGGAAGCTTAGCGAGTGTGTACGGAAGCATAATGTAATATGGCACCATTGAAGTGTGGCAAATGCATGCATGTTAAAATAAGCATTAGTCTTAAGGGATAGTTGTATTTTTTATATCTAAAATAATTAAATATTTTATATTTATTTTAAAATCAAAAAGTTGTAGTTTTGTAACAAATTATTATACATTAGGTTTCTCCATGATATGATACCCTAATTTTGGCACAGTAGGTTATGTTGGTTGTGTTGTTTCAGCCACCCAGTTTGTGGTACTTTGTTATTGCAGCACTTGCAAACAAATATAAAATTTGTTTTCAGAAGTAGGATGCTGCCAGCTGTGGTGTTCTGTGATTACAGGTTTGGCAAGGCCTGTAATCGCAGCGCTTTGGGAGGCTTAGGCAGGAGGATAGTTTGATAGCAGCATTTCAAGACCAGCCTGGGCACTATGTGAGACCCTGTCTCTACAAAAACTTAAAATAAGATGTTCAATTTCTGTGCGTGGTGGTGGATCCCTGTAGTCCCAACTACTTAGGAGTCTGAGGTGGGAGGATCCCTTGATCACAGCAGTTCAAGGCTACAGTGAAACATGATGCTGCACTGCACTCCAGTCTGAGACTGACAGACTGAGATCCTGTTTCAAAAGAAAAACAGGAAGTGGGGTGCTACTGTAACAAACACCTACAAATGTGGAAATGGCTTTGGAATTAGGTAATGAATGAAGGCTGGAATGAGTGATCAAGCCATGAATGGACATGGAAGAAACCTAAATGCATATTCCTAAGTGAAAGAAGCCAATTTGGAAAGCCTACATACTTTACGATTTCAACTACATGACGTTCCAGACAAGGAAAAACTATCAAAACAGAAAAAGGAGTGGATGCAAAGGAGTTTAGGGAAAGGGAGGGATGACTAGTCGGAGCACAGAGGATATTTAGGGCAGTGAAACTTTTCTGTATGATGCTATAATGATGGATCGATGTCATTATACAATTGTCCAAACCCACAGAATGCACAACACCAAGAGTGAGCCCTCATGTGATCTATGGACTTTGCTGACAACGATGTGTCAATGGAGGTTCACTGATTCGAACAAATGCACCCCTCTGCTGAGGAATGTTGATAATGGGTGTGCATCAGTGGGGCTGTGCATGAGTGGGGCAGGGAGTAGATGGGAATTCTTTGTGCCTTTTGATCAGTTTGACTGGAAATCTAAAGCTGCTCTTTAGAAAATTACATCTTAAAAATTTAAACAAGTATAAAAATTTTAGTGTGAACATCATTCTTCTAATGTGACATCTGTCACTACTGCCAGTATATTAACACACCTTGAAATAAAAAAAACTAACGTTCTGAGTGTCATATAACATCCAAGAGTTTGTAACCATTTTACCATAGAGAAGGTGACTGGGAAGGTCCTGGGTAGGTTAGGACAGAGAGTGGGGAAAGGGCAGGTACAGGTGATGAGGAACTGTTTTCAGGTTGAGCATGAAAGTACAATGAGAAATACTTAATAAAAGGTTCCCGGGGTGGACTGATAGGAAGGAAAGCAGAGTACAGAAATACTCACTCCTAGAGCTAGAAATGTCTGGCAAGGTAGCTGGGCAGATACTGGGCCTCCCAGAACATCTATGCCAAGCAGTGATCAGGGCTGCAGTTTAGGACCACAACCCAGTCTTCTGCTGCTGTTAGGTGACGATGCTGGTAAGAACAAGAGAGAATCCTAGAATTAGAGGGATTAAAGCAAAAATTGGCTGGAGAGTTATTGCCACCAGGAAAAAACGGTTGGGCTTAATTATTTGCAAAATACGTCTGAGGGAGGTGATTGATCTTAGCAATAAAGCAGAAGTCAAGTGAGGGAACCTGGGACTCACCGTCTGAGGAGGCTCCTAGCAACCACGACTTGACATTGAGTCACTTAAAAATTAGAAGAGTACTCCTTGGATGAGCAGCAGATCAGATGAAGAAGTTGGGAAGGCATGGGCTCTAAGAAAAGAGGGCTATTGGCAGATCATTACTGCGCCAAGAACATCTGTAAATTCAATCAGAAGCATACAGACAAAATCAAATCTTAAAAAAACTGATGTCTAAGTCGTACTCCAGCACGTATATTGGATGACATTATGTGAAAGTCACAGGACTTTCCCGTGTTTCCACTTTATGTTAATGCAATATTGCAAAGCCAACATGCCCATTTTTACCCCTAGTGTATAGAGCACCGTTTGTTTGAGAACAAACAGAATACCAGAGCTCTACAGCAGCTTCAGAACAGCAGGGATTAATAAATGGATGGATGCCAATCAAAGAAACCTCAGCCTGTAGCTGAGCTATCTGAGAAATGTCCCAATTTTGTAATTGCTTTGCAGTTCTGTGATAGAGTAAATTGTGTTTTCACTTCTGGATTTATAAGTACCATTCTATCTTGTTAACTAAAACTAAATTACCAATGCATGCCAAGAAAACAAAAAAACAAAAAAACAACTACAGACTGTCCCCTTTTTTGCTCTTGGAAATACTTGGCACCTAAGAATTTATTCCAGGAAAGTATTTCTACTATTTGGAACCCTAAAACAGAAATATAATGTGATTTAAAAGTATTTAGACTCTGCGTTTCTAACAAGATGAATTCATATATTAGAAAGAACTTTGATGCCTGTGCTTATGGCTTTGCGCACATACATTTCAAAATCTAACCAAGAAATACTAGCACCTCAAAGTAAATACAGCAAAGTGTCAAGTTTGTAATGTGGAGAAATAAAAGTGGCACTGTTCTCTGGAAATTTCTAATATAGCCTTCTTTAATTTTATAATTTTCAAATGTATTTTTCTTTGATTCTTTTGTTCTATGACAATAGTAAAGCTGGATTTTTATCGCTGATGTGTTTTCTGACCCACAGTTCAACTTGAACTAAATAATGAACTAAGGAGAGTATGTATTTGGGACACTTCAATTCTACACACTATTTCATTTCTAGGAAGTCATTACCATATCATCATTGTAATAGTCATCATAAGCACCATCATCACAATCCACAAACACTACAACAACGTTTATCAAGTGCCTTATTAAATCTTAAATTTTATTATTAACGTGCATTGCCAGTTAATGTAGACTAACATGAATTGTTCATTTAATAAAAATAAGATGATGGCCTACTACTTTCATTACATTTTAGGTTCGGCACCTGAAGCCTAAAGTGTTTCAGCGACTGGTATGATGTCACATACATAATAAGAAGTAGAACACGTCCCGTACGTTAAGCTTCCATGAGGACGGCAGGCGCCGAATGTGGACTTTGCCAAATCTTAGAGTCCTAGAGCATGTCCATTTTGATAGTTAATCGTAACAAAAGAGGTACATCTTGAAGCTTAGGGAACCTGAGCATAAGTCTCCATTAAACTGGAATTTAAAAGGACTTTACATTCACTCTAAGGGTAAACTAGAAATAAATTCTACCAGGCAGATGCAGAACAGAAACTTCACCTGTTCCAAGGATACATAATGAATGGAGAAAAAATCTCTGAACATAAGACTGCCCCCACGTAATTACTCCATCTGAATTCACAGGATTCACTCTACCTGTTGGGTCTGAAGTACCTCAAACGGAGTGGGGAGTTTAAATGGCCTTGCTGATAGTGACTCAGGTAACTGGAACAAGAAAAATAAATTCTTTCTAGGAAAACTTAACTTCGGCCTGAGCCTGAAAGTATTCTTACAGATTAAGGTCTGGAAAAAAGTGAGCAGCATGCAATAGAAATCCACAAAATGCAAGTCAGCAAAACACTGATTGAGAATCAGCAGGAAATTAAGCACACACAGATACACACACACACACACACACACACACACACACACACACACACACACCCCAGAAGTAGACCAAGAAATTAAGGCTGGAAAGAAATCTATAAAGACTGGCATAGTATAATTGACAAATAACTAGAGCTTATCAGAATACAACGAATAATGCTTAAAAATATATTCAATGAATGGATACAATAACCGACGGGAAATAGTTTTAAATACTACTGAACTGGAAGGCAGGACTAAAAAAGAGATCTCAAATTTATTCTTGAGGTATAGTTCTGAATAACTTACTTATAGATTACATATGCACTATTAAATAGCTCATAATGGAGAATAATAGCCAAAAATCACAAAGAAAATGAGAAAATATCCTAACTGAATGATAATAAAAATAATACATATCAAAACATATGACATACAGTTTAAGTGAGATAATTCTTAGAAAACATTTTCTAAGCCTTAATTACTTACATTAGAAGGAACAAGTGCTGTGGTAACATAAGAATCTGACTTGAAATTTTAGAAAGAAAACCAGCAAAATGAATGCAAAGATATTATGAGGAACTTAATAATGGAGATAAGTATAGAATAAATAGAATAGAAAATATAAAATATAGAAGATCAATAAAGCCAAAACTTTAAGATGATCTCGTATATAAACGCAATTTTAACAAGCTTAAAGAAAAGGAGAAATAATATTAGGAATAAAATAGAATATACAAAATTCTACCTAAAAGTCTACAAAAACATAATTTGCTAATATGGACTGAAGAATGAGAACATATAAATCATTTTAAAACCCTAAAAGAAATGAGACGTTATAAACTTTCCCAGAAAGAAAATACCAGCTCAAAGCTTTTATATGTTACTAATACCTCATTGTCGAGGAGCTGATCATATGAGTATTAATAAAATCTAACAGATAATAAAAAGAGGAAACGGAAGTCTAATCATTTAATGAGGCTACCAAAAGCTTCATATCAAATTAGAGTTGTACCTAAAAATAGAGATGATAGACTGTTTTCATTGTGAACATTAGTACAAAAATGTTAAATAATGTATTAGTAAGATTAACCTAGCAGTAGATAAAAATAATAACAGATCATGAATAAATTGGATTTAGATTAGAAATGTGAGTTAATATAATATTAAAACAGTTAATTTAATTCATTATGTTAATCATATTATTTATTTATTTATTTTAGGGATGGGGACCTGCTCTTTTGCCCAGGCTTTTGTGATCACAGCTTACTGCAGCCTCAAACTCCTGGGCTCACTCAATCTCTCACATTGACCTTCCAAAGTGAGGGGAGTAAAGGAGTAAGCCACTGCTCCTGGACCCATTTTATTAATTTTAAATGAAAAAAATCATATGTATATCTTGATAAATCTATATAAGATGTTTGATGAAAATCAGTACCATTTATGAATAAAAAGTAGAACCAAGCCTCTTGAAAAAATATGTTATATGACTTGTTTATCTAATGAAGAATAAACATGAAAAAATCTAGTAATCATGATAATTATTGCTGAAATATTGAACAGGAATAAGATAAAGATACCCTATATTACAATGTATATTTTATATTGTACTAAAATTTCTGGCCATTGTGGTAAAACATAAGGAAAAAGATATGGTTATTGTAAAGATAGAAGGCATTATTTGAAAAAATACACTTTTTCCCATGGAAATCCCCAAGTAATTTACATATATTTTAAATTATTGAAGAAGTTTAGGAAATTTCAATACTTTTTAGACAAAGGGCCAATTTCTTTTATGTATATAATAAACTATCAGCAAGAACATCTAATTTAGAAAATTATGCCATTTACAATAATATTTTTAAAGCTTCAAGTAATAATTTTGACTTTTGGTTGACAGCCAAATAAATCAGGAAACCAACAATAGTGAATCTACTGTCTGGATTCTCCTATTCAAGATTGCCAATTCCAGATGAGTTAGCTGAGAAACTGACTCCAAACTTTGGAGAGCTTCATCGAACTGAGGTACCAATATTGAAGTACTTGGGTTGCTAGGAAGCAGTAACTCCTGATGGATCAGGACAAGATGCCAAAGGGCTGGACCCTATGAGTAGGTAACCCATAAGTAGACTGGCCTCAAAGTAAGAAGACTAGCTACAATAAACTTAATCCCTGAAATTGGATTGAGGTGATCTGGATTATTGGTGCTGCTGTTCATCTGTGAGAAGCAAATGTAAATTGTCTCTAAGTGGAGATATGTCAGCTGAAGTAATAAAGTTTTTTCATATACAATGATCAGCAGGCATGCAAAATAACCAGGAAATTACAAAACAAAAGCCCACATGATTTACAACAAAGTTTTAAAATGCAATGGAGACTTTCAGATTTATTTTTGACATAGAAAGGGCCTAGGAGTCACCATGCTCATCCTTAACACAAGAAGAAGCAGAACAAACTGAGAACCAATGGATTATCTTAGCCCCAACAGAGAATTTAGATTAAAGGGGGAACCACTACCCTGAAGTCTGGAGTGACAGGAGAATGCAAAGAATCACAGCAGAGATCAATTTCCTGGAGCACAGGTCAATGGAGCCATCAATGGCTAGGAGGACATATAGTAACTTGGATGTATTACTGGAGGCCGAGTGGACTAGTGCAACGGTGATAAATTCATGGGGCATCAGTCTTAGGGGCACCGCATATAAATGGGTTTTAACTCCAGGAACACAGCTCAGCTCTCACAGTGAAGAGCCAAGAAAACACAACACAACAAAACATATATTTAGTATTCTTAAAAAGTCAAAAGTTCAGAGTTCGGTCAATAGATTTAATGTAGTCCCTACCCTGTCAAAATTTCAACAATGTTTTTTGTTTGTTTCATCGTTTTTGTGGAGATGGACAAGCTAATCTTAAAATTCGTATGGAAATGCAAGGGAACCTGAGTGGCAACATCTATCTATAGAAAAGAATAAGGCTGGAGAACTCACACTTCCTAGTTTCAAAACTAACAACAAAGCTACAATGATCAAAATCGTTGTGACCCCAGATTAGGAAATAGTTTCTTAAATATGACACCAAAAGCAGGAAGAAGAAAAAAATAGATAAATTATATTTCCTTAAAATTAAAAACTTCTGGTACAGGAAGACATAGTGATAAGTCAGCGATAATAGTGATAAGAAACCAATACCAAAACCCAGAGAATTAAAGGAAATATTTGCAAACCATCCACCTGATAAGTCTTGTATTCAGAATATTAAAACGATTCTTACAAGTCAGCAACAGAACCAACAACAAGCAACCCAATTAGAAACAGAGCAAAGAATCTGAACAGGTATTTTTCCAAAGAAAATATGCAAATGCAATTAAAACCAACACTAAAACACCATTCAGTCATTAGGGTGGCTACAACAACAGCAAAGACAGATTAAAAAAAGGCATGGACAAAATATGAGGACATCGGCAAGTCCACACGTTCTGCAGGAACGCAAAGCAGTGGAGCCATGAGGAGAACAGTGTGGCAGTTTCTCAAAAAGTTAATCACTGATTTACTATAAAACTAGCAACAGCATTCCTAGACATACACCACAAAGAATTGAAAACGTATGTTTGCACGAAAGGAGAACATGTAAGTTTATAGAAAAATTATTTATAATACCCCAGAGTGGAAACAACCCAAATGCCCTTCAGCAGGTGGTTGAAGAAGCAAATGCTGTATGCACATACAATAAAATATGAAGTCATAGAAAGAATGAAATACTCCTACACGCTACTGTATGGATAAAGCCGGAACATATTTTGCAAAGTGAAAGAAATCATATACAAACGATCACATAATGTATGATTCCATTTGTATGAAATGTCCCAAATAGGCAAATCCAAAGAGACAAATTAGATTGGTGGTTTCCACAGGCTGGGGAAGTAAGGGAGAGATCGGGAGATATGGGATTTCTTTATGAGCTGATGAACACCTTCTGGAATTAGATAGTTGCTATGAAGTCACAAAATTGTGAATATTCAAAAAAAAACCCACTGAATTTTATATCAGTAAAATTATATGAATTTATGTGAATTTTGCATTAATAAAAGCTGATTAAAAATAAATACAATAAAAAATTGTATATTTTATATACTGTAAAATCTTATCTCATATTAATATAAATTAAATAAAAAGCATTCTCACAAGACAGAGAAATATTTCATACTGATAAAAGGTTCAATTCACCAGGAATATGTAATTGTTCTACAACTCTAATTCACTTACTAACATAGCTTTAAAATTATATAAGATAAAAATGTACTGAACCACAAAAGACAAAAACACAAATTCATAATGTAGCAAGGTTTTAACACATGGTGCTCATAAATGAGAAGAAAAAAGATATTTAAATTCAGTAAAGATATAGGAGTTTTGGAAACAGAATGAACTATTTTGAATTAAATGACATATGTAGATGTTTTATACTCCTAGGGGAGTGCAGACGCTTTTAAGCACACTCAGGAATTTACCAAAAAATGGCCATGTTCTTGGCCACAAGTGAGTCCCAACACATTTCAAATAATTGAAATCATACAGAATAGGTTATCTGACTATAGCACAATTAACCCAGAAAATTTTTAAAAATCTATATATTTAGAAATTGAGGGATAGATTGTATAAGTCTAAAAGTCCAATGAATTTAAAATAAACATTAGAAAATATTTTAAAGTATACGATAATAAAAATAGTCTTTATTGAAATATATGGGTGCAGAACATAATAATGTTTAGAAGAAGTTGTAACATCTGGAATGTACATTTTTTTAAAGTGAAATTAAAATTAAATGAGGTTGTCTTTCATCTCCAAAAGTCAAGAAAAACAGTAACTTCAAAGAAAGCTGAAGAGAAAAAAAGCATAAAGATAAGACCAAAAATCAATGAAATATAAAACAAAAGACAAAGAAGGTTAACAGTCAAATGTTCATTTTTTGAAAGGATTATTAAATCTGAACCTGTAGGAATATTTATATAAAAAAAGAGAAAGTAAGGGCACAACTAACAATCAAGAATTGGCAAAGATGACATCAGTGTAAATCCTGCATACATTCAATAATTCATCAAATTTATTGTGAAAGATTTTCTGCCAGTAAGTTTGAAAATTTAGAGGAAATTTTTAAAAATTCCCAAACAAGAATAAAGGCAACTTACTGAAGCTTCAAAAGTGCTAAAAGTAAACCTCACGATTAGAAACTCTTCCTCTCCTCCAACACACACACACACACACACACACACACACACACTCAAAAATGTATTATCCTTCATGGTTTCGTCAGTGAGAAAGAAACAGACAGTAAACATTTAAAGAGATAACTAATAGCATTAGCAATCTGGGGAATGCAGACTGTAACCACTGTAAGGAAGCGTTACTTACATAACAGAAAGACTTAAATGAAATGTATCACTTTTAAACATTGACAATACAAAGTATTGGCAAAGATATTAAATACTGAGAACACTTACACACTGCTGGTGAAAGTACTGAAGGTATAATCTCTTTAGAAAACACCTTAAAATTATCTATTAAAGCCCAACATACGCATGTCCTTGGTCCTGAAATTTTTAATCTTGAGTCTATGTCCAATAGACCTTCCAATTTATGTTTACACAATACATACATAGATATAAATTATACTGTATGACACAGTGTGATATGCCACAGTAACACATACAAACTACCTATAGCTAAATGTGAATAAAGGGCTGAATTTCACAAATATACATGGCTGATCTTTAAAACCCCTGAATTTAAAAATACTTGTAATATAATTGTAAAGTTTGATAAAAGGCAAACTAATTGAGTTTAAAGGCCTGGAAGATGGTTACATCTAGACAGGTGGGAAGTTTAGTTATATCTGCAGGGGTTGGAGGTGGTTCCGTGATGGTGGAAATGTTCTGTTTATAGCCTAAGAGGTGGTTGAATAGGATGTGCTTTTGGCCAATTTATTATATTTCCAGTTCTGTTTTTTTTTCTAGTTCGCAGTAAAAAGATTAGATCACTGGTGAATATTTTCACAAAAACAGTCAAGGGGTTTAAGAAAAGCATAGATGCACAAGAACAAAAGAAAAGGAAATAAGGTGATATTAGATCAATCAATCAGTCTTGTGATCTAACCTCTCCATTCACTACAGCACAAGTTTAGAAGCAGGAAACCATCTGAATGACCAGCAAATCACCTCACATATAAGTTTAACCTTAATTTCCAGTGGGAACTCTAGGAAGAGACCCCCAGTTCACTGCAAACCCCTGCTGCCTTCCCCCATCCTAGACAATAACCAGAAATGCAGTATTCAGGTACTCAGAAGCAATATGACTGGGTATCAGGAGGCAGTTTAAGGATGAGAACCTGCCGGATTGAAATAGGGATATTTAGCACAAGTTCAAGTAATGAATGCTGAGAACATCAGCCATCTCCCTAATGACTCCTGTATACTGGTAACAAAGATTCCTCAAAGCAGGTGATTGGTAATGCTTTCCTGGGCGAATCAAATCTGTTTGAATAGACAGGTTAGATCACAAGATTGATTGATTAATTGACATATAGACAGATTAGGTGGATGATAAATAGATTAGATGGATGAATGGGTAAATAGTTGGATGGATAAAATGATAGATAGATGATAGGTAGATTAGGCAATATGGATGGATGGATGGATGGATGGATGGATGGATGGATGGATGGACGAATAGTTAAATGGATGAATGGATACTTGAAGAGGCTGACATTAGGGATTGATCACTAAACAATTTAGTCACATCAATCTATAGTGAAACATATATTCTATGAACCTCAATGAAGAAAAAAAGAATTCTCAATCATCTTTTGATGTCCCATTCTAAAATATGAATGGAGAGAGAAAGTTCCTCACACACTTTGAAAAAGGCTTTGATATGAAATTAGAGGCTAATAAATGGGAAAACAATGAAGATAGAGGAATTAGAGACTGTGCAGGGGAATGAAAACAGAAAACAAAACAAGAATATCACTGGTATATTCAGAGAAGTCAAAGAATGTACAAAACAGGACGATATACGTGCACACATGGACTCTCCTCTCTCTCTCTCTCTCTCTCTCTCTCTCACACACACACACACACACACACACACACACCCCTTAGAAGAAACCATTAGAAAAGGAAAAAGAACTCAGCTGAAGGTTTTTGGATATAAAGTGAATTCTATTTCCTAGAAAGTAGACAAAAGAGACAGAAAAATTGAAAATATGGAAAAAGAATACATTCAGTAGAATAGTTCAAGTTCTAATATTTGAAAAGTTCAAGACAGAACAGAGAAAAACAGAAGTGAGTGTGTTACTGATACAAAAGGCCCACTAAGAACCCACAACAGTGTGAAAATAGACTCACACCAAAGGCTGTCATCATGAAATTCCAAAATACTGGAAAAAAGATAAGACCTGAGCTTATCAACAGAAGTAAACATGCTGTATTCTTAGACCTCAGAATAGCATTAGATTGTCAATAATGTCAGTGAAAGCTAGAAGATGGAGCATGGTCTTCACAGCTTAAAGAAAGATATTTCTAAATTAGTATCTATCCCAAAGCCATCAATTATGCATGATGATACATTAAAGACAATTTTGGATAAGCAAGGCCTCAAAAATGTAACCCCTAAATGCTCACACACAGGATGCTGTGGGAGGTGTGAGTGACCCACACAGGAGACTAAATCTAAAGTGGTGTGGAGGTAAACTGAGGGAGGCTAGGAACACAGTGCAGGAAATAGAGATAGCAGCCTTGGAGTGCCAGGGACGAGAGGCCAGGATTGCATCTGTAAAACAGGCCTGGAAGGAGATCTTGCAAATGGGAACAGGTCAAAAACCTCTAGGGAAGATTTATTATGCAAAGGGAAGTTGGTAGAACACCAAATTGATAGAAAATTCATACTGTGCCGTAAATAAAGAAACTAAGTATATGGGGCAGTAGAAGAAATTAGATTGTTAGCAGCAGTAGGGTTGTTCAGGGAATGAAAATTATTCCTGGGGTGTATATGGCTCAGCGATGAGACTATTTGCAGTCACATAATAACAAGAGGGTTAGTATCATCCTAAGCAAAATGATGATATAAAAGCAAAGCAAGAAGGAGAAATGGAAGGATTATGGGGAGAGGAAGGAGTGAAAGCAAGGCAAATTGCCCCTTTCCATAACTGAAATGCAATATATATTGCTGCAAACTGGAAATTAATAAATAGTGATCAGAGGATATTATTTACAATCATAGAGGTAAATTCTAAAAAATAATTAATTAAAAGAATTGAACATGCGAGCCTGTGGGACGGAGTATGGGCAACTGAGATACCTTGTAAAACCCATGGACTCTTTAAATTATAGGCAAGTATAACTCTACGATAAATGAAAGCCAAATTAAAAATAAAACAGTAAGGGAAGAATATAAAAATACTGTAATGGCTATAAAGAGTTTGTATATTTCCTACAACTCAAATCTACTTCCAATTGAGCATAGCTTTATGTGGATATTTACAAAAGAAACAAAACAAACTCTGCCAAGATTTTTAATGTTTTCTAAAATGCAGTCAGGGCATCTGAAAACACAGAATCTTGAAGGCAGACTACATAGAGTAAATACATGTTTAATTAATAAGTTACTAAGATTGAATGACAAGCATAGATCTGAATCTTAGGGTACAATTAATGTGATGATTCTGAGATCCTGCTAATTTTTAGGAGTAAAATGCACACAATATATGGAATAGACTTCTTTATTTGCTGTACAGCATAACAAAGCCACATAATAATTACAATTTGTTTCTACTGAATGATAGAGCCATTTGGACACCCTTAATGTCATCAATTAGAGTTTAATGCATAATTAAATTTTACAGCTAATAAGCGCACAATGAAATAAAAAGGCCAATTGATGGATAATGGAAATTCTCCACTTGAATAGCAAAATATCATTTGGAAGGCAATGACTTCTATGCAACGTCATTTAAGCCACTAAGCTAGAGTCATGAGTCAGATTTTCATTTCAGGTCTAGAAATTTTCATTTATTTCTAATTAGCTAACTAGATTGTAGCTTTGCAGGAAAATAAGCGGAGGTGATTTGTTTATACACTGAGGATCCTCAATCGTCGGTTAACATGTAAGGAGCTTAAATACTTTACAACACATCATAAATGCTCCATAAATATTATGTGTAGTAATCCCTATTCCAAATCTAAAGGCACGTCACTATTTATTTTGCAGAAAGTTTACACCAATGGACTTTATGCTCTATATAGTCACATGCAGTAGTGAGTGGCATTTCTTTTTCTTTATTTTTACACATATTTCTCTTTAATGAAATGAATATTATTTTATTCTTTACTCCTAAAATATTTACAATAATTAGATTTCAAGACGCAAAGCAGCTCCCTGCCTGTATCACATTTGAGCACGCGTCACTGTTTTCCCTTTCTGGTAGCCATCCAAGGACATCAGCTTTATGGCTAGCAGGAATAGTAGAACATCCTCTTCTTTCTGCAATACCAGCAGTTAGAGGGTTTAGCTTCCTGTTCTGTTCATTATCTTTCTATTTGACTGTACTACGTCCATGCAACAGCTCCCCTGTTCTAGGGTCCCTAGCATACTTTTAACTTATTATATATAATATTTACTACTTTTCAGTGGAATCAAACTGTAAAAAATAAGACAGCTGACTTTAATATATGACTTTGAATAAGTAATATAAGGGTCAAGAGATACAAAGAACAAACAACGGAAGACACAGGATTTCATAGATTCTCCAATGTGCTTTTTTTACACTTTCACATGGCAGCAGTTGAACTATGGGGGATATGTCTTACAATCCAAGATGTATGACATTGGAATTAGCACTGTTCTTTTTAATGTCTTTCTGTAACGGCATATAAAATAATGGCACGTCTTAAAATTGATGTTGACTCAGATTCACCGAGATAAGTAAAGATGCCAGCATCATGTGGCTGAGGATGCTTCCCAGCTCACCCTTGTGTTTACTTGGATTCACCGAGATAAGTAAAGATGCCAGCATCATGTGGCTGAGGATGCTTCCCAGCTCACCCTTGCGTTTACTCCACATCCTCTTAGAGACGTGCAATGCAGTTTCTTGTATATGCTGCTAAATCAGAATTCTATTTTACAGGAATGTAAGAGTCCTTTCTGTTGCTTTCTCAGCTTTACAGAAGTAGACTGACAAAAATTGTGTAACTATATATTTATTTAGTATACATAATAATATAAAATATATATGTATAGTCTACAACCTGATTTTTATGTCCATATACACTATAACTGGTGACCACAGTGGAGCTAATTAACAAATCTATCACTTCACATAGTTCCTTTCTTTTGTGTGTGTGCTGAGAACACAACATCTCCTTCCTTAGCAAGTTCTGAGGATTCCGGATGGAGTCATCGATGTCTTCCATTTTTCATTCACATTATACATCTCAAATGTCTTTCATGCCAGTTCAGAGAGAACTTCTATAATATTTTGATGCCTGTTTTGCCTTAAATTCTGTGCCCATACCATAATTTATTTCATCCGTTCCCTATTGAAGACATGCAGCTATTTCTAAAGTGTTGTTATTAAATCTAACAAATGTTATAATTTTTTTTTTTGAGACCGAGTGTCCCTCCTGTCACCCAGGCTGGAGTGCAGTGGCACAATCTCAGCTCACTGCAACCTCTGTCTCCTGGGTTCAAGCAGTTCTCCTGCCTCAGCTTCCTGAGTAGCTGAGATTACAGGCAGGTGCCACCACACCCGGCTAATTTTTTTTTTTATTTTTAGTAGAGACGGGGTTTCAGCCTGTTGGTCAGTCTGGTCTCGAACTCCTGACCTCATGATCCACCCGCCTCAAATGTTATAAATTTTAAATAAGATATTGACCCATGCGCAATCACAGTTGTAGGTGAAAAGTATATTACTTAATGGGTGGAAGCATTTTTAGTTTTAAGAAAATTTCGCATTGAAATTGTACCAATTTGCAATCTCACTAGCTGTGTCTAAGAGTATATTTTGTGTTCATACTTTTAAGACGGAAGTTATGTATCATACTTTTAGTTCTCAATTCAAAGACAAAACATCATCAATCATGGCACTGTACTTTTTTGGATTTTCTTTTTTTTTGGGGGGGGCGGGTGGAGTCTCACTCTGTCTCCCAGGCTGGTGATATCTTGGCTCACTGCAACCTCTGCCTCCCAGTTTCAAGCAATTCTCCTGCCTCAGCCTCCCAAGTAGCTGGGATTACAGGTGTGAGCCACCACACCCAGCTAATTTTTGTATTTTTCATAAAAATAGGGTTTCCCATGTTGGCCAGGCTGGTCTCGAACTTCTGGCTTCAAGTGATCCACCCACCTCGTCCTCCCAAAGTGCTGGGATTACAGGTATGAGCCACTGCACCTGGCCTGTATTTTCTTAAGCATGACAGGGATTAAGCCTTTTTACATATGTGAGCCAACGGGTGTTTGTTTGTTTGTTTCCTTAAGAAAATCTGTTAGTATGCTTTAAATGTGGTATTGATTGCAATATGCATAGAGAGAAAATTATGTCACAGGTTTACAACCTGAAGCATTCTCATAAACGAAACAGGCCTGCATCTTCAGCCCCCAGGCAGAAGGGATGTTTGCACCATCCCACAGAAACCTTCTCTCTTGCTCCTTGTGAGCCTGTAGCCCCCAACGGCACACACACACACACACACACACAGACACACACACACAACAAAGGGCGTCGATGTCTCTCCTTCCACCCGCTGTCCTCCAAGGCGACTGCACGCAGATGCTGCAGGCATTGTTAAGGCTCCTCCTGCACAGAACTGCTGTACCTCCTGATCTCCCTCCTGTGGCTGTGTCCACCACTGTGGAGGGCCGTGCCAGGCAGGGAATTCAGCCAGGCGACCAAGCAAGTGACGGGGCACTGTGTCCACCCAGCAAAGGCATGTAGGTGACTGAGCTGGCATTGGCCTCAAATCGCGCACCCCCTGTGGTCTGGCCTGCTCCCAGCCGGGGCATCAGCCAGGCTGGCTAACGGTTGCTGCCAGGTGGAAAATGAAAATGCAGGAATGGTCAGAGTGAAATCCACAAATTTAAAAATAGGTCTCTAGAGCCCCCTCTTGTCCTGATTGCTACTCAGGAAGCGGCTGAGAGGAGATGACACCTTCCTGGAAACAGTTTCATGTAGGGACCAAAACTCCCTCCTGAGATGTGGGGACCAGGATGTGAAGGCGGTAGACATGGATGTGAATTTAAGCTTGTGTGTAGGAGGCCTTGGATTCAAATTCTGATCTCTCCTGGAAACACCCACACAGACACACCCAGAAATGAAGTGTGATCAGCTGTCTGGGTATCCCTTAGACCATCAAGGTGACACACAGTATGCACCACTGCAGATGCAGAAACAAAAACGGTGGTTGAATTGGCCCTAAAAGCCCCACTAGTAGGTCATGTTAGTGTCTGTTTCCCATTGCAAACGCAGCTTAAAAACTCTCTGTTAACTCCAGGCGCCTCCTCCCATCGTGGAATGAGTAGGATGGTGACTTCAGTGCCTGTGCACAACAGAGCTATAAAAGTCTGTGTGTCCGGGTGTGGTGGCTCACGCCTGTAATCGCAGCACTTTGGGAGGCTGAGGTGGGTGGATCACGAGGTCAGGAGTTTGAGACCAGTCTGGCTAACACGGTGAAACCCCGTCTCTACTAAAAATACAAAAATTAGCCGGGCGTGGTAGTGTGCATATGTAATCCCAGCTACTCTGGGGGCTGAGGCAGGAGAATTGTGTGAACCGGGAGGTGGAGGTTGCAGTGAGCCGAGATCTCACCATTGCACTCCAGCCTGGGTGACCAGAGTCAGACTCTGTCTCAAAAAAAAAAAAAAAAAAAAAGGTTTGTGTCCATCTCTCTCTGGACTCCCCCAGCACCCTTGGTTGGGTGCATAGGGGCTTCACACCCCTCGCCAGTCATCTTCCTCCACGGCACAGCTGAGGTCAGGGTAGGAGGAGAGAGAAGAAGGCACGTGGAGGGAGGGGAAGGCTGCATTGTGCATCAGTAAGCAGGCTCAGTGACCTTCAGTTTCATCTGAGGGCTGCTTGTTTCTCAAACAAACAAACCTCGAATGTTTCTGATGCAACCAGAGTTCTGTATTTTTCTGGCAGACATCATCTGCCTCAGACCTAGGGACTTCTGGGCTTCTCAGCCATAGCTACACTTGCCTTTTGGCTGGGGCTGTGAGGCTCATTGCATCAATGTTGTGATCACATTTATTTCTTCTCTCGCTAGGGGAGACTGAACAGCAATCAAAGCACCGTAAGGGAAACCTGTTTCAATCCTACCTCCTGCTGCTCAGCCTCTAAACATTCAGGGCCAGACAGGCAAGACTCTGTGGGAGCCTCACCCTCCCAGCCCCAGCACTCATTCCCCGGGCTAGAGCATTTACTGTTGAATCTCAGCAAGTCTTTTTAAATCTCTAAACATGGTCTGTGAGGTCCTCACCTTTTCTCTTCCAGAGTCACGTCTCTGTCTGCATTTCATCTTCTCTTTCCCAACAACTTTCAAGAACTGTGAAGGGTCTGATTTGACTCAACGTCCAAGCTACCATGTTGGTCTTCGAGGAGGCACAAGAGCCTTGGATCAGAGACAAAAATCTCGGTTACTCACAGCAGAGAAATCAGTATGAGCTTTCCTTGTGCCTGAGTTCCCCTTACTATCCAAATCCCAGGGGGATGATTTACACAGATCCAGGTAGGTGGAGTAACTGACTCACAGCTGAGGAACCCTTCAATGCTAGGGAAACTGATTGTGTTTTTTACATAACGTTGTGCTATAAACCTGCCTGACCTTTGCTCTGGAGGAGACTATCTCTGAGCACTTTCTGCTGTGTAACAATCTTTGAATGATTGTCTGAAACAAATGCCAATCCACGCCCCTATTGTCTAGACACGCAGCAAGACAGGAAATCATGGAGACCTGGCTCCCAGCAGCCACGTGATGCCTTCTGTCAAGAATTACAACCCTGCACTCATTGGCATCTGTTGCTTCTACATGGCTGTTTATATCCTCTATCCAGGTTTTACTATAGTTTCAACAGAGTCTGCATTTAATATCAGCGAATTTTTCATGCTCAGGACTAGAAGACCCTGAGCTAAGTTTTAATAAAATTTATTGAGCCTCTGCTACATGTCGGAGCAGAGACCAAGATACAATTAAGATAAAAGATCTCCTCATTGAGTTCTTGAGTTCTTCGCAGAAACATGCATATGCGTATATAAGCAGCATGCAATCCAAGAAGTGGTGTAAAAGAAAGTGACCCCAGTGCTAATCTATAAGAGCAGAGTTAAATCTAGACAGGATTTGTCAAGGAGTAAATCCTAGAGAAGGGATTACTTGAGCTGAGTCCTGAAGGCTCGGTAGCAGTTCTACAATTCTATAAGTAGGTAAAGATTATCCCAAGTAGAGGCAAGAACTAACAGGGGACTGTGAAAATATGAGAAAGAAAATCATGTTCAGGGAATAGCAGTGATGTCAGCAGGGCTGGGGCACTGTGAGTTCTTATTCATTCCCACAGTTTCAGTCATCCTTCCTGTGCTGGTTACTCCAACCTTATTTTTTCAGCCCATTCATTCATCCTGAGTTTCATATTTTAAATACCTCCTCGTAGTTTTTCATTCATAATGCCAAAAAAGGACTCAATTCCTGTTTCTCCTATCTCTGTGAATCACACTAATTTTCATGGAGTTGCTCAAGACTCCAAGTTGGAGAGCTTTTTGTCACATGTCTTTTTATTCGTTTCACAAGACTAGCCCATCAGAAAGTCACGTTGGCTGGGCCAAGTCATTCACACCTGTAATCCCAGCACTTTGGGAGGCAGAGGTGGGCAGGTCACGTAAGCCCAAGAGTTCGAGACCAGCCTGGGCAACATAGTGAGACTCGGTCTTTACAAAAATAAATAAATACAGAAATTAGCCTGGCGTATTGGCGCGTGCCCACTTGAGGAGGCTGAAGTGGGAAGATCACTAGCTCCCAGGCAGTCCAGGCCGCAGTGAGTTGTGATTGTGCCACCGCACTCCAGACAGAGCAACAAAGCAAGATTCCTGCTTTTTTGTTTTGTTTCAAAAAAGAAAGAAAAAACAAACAAAACAAAACAACAACAACAAAAAAACATGTTTATGCTGTGGCTTCTGTATCGTTGGTCTCAGTTACCATGGTCTGAATAGAATAACCTCTTGCCTCTGCTAACTGTTCCTTCGGAAACTGCTAATGTCCCCAACTAACAAATCTTTCACAGAATAGGTGAATAGATGATCATTGTATAAAAACCCACATGGATCGTTTTATTCTCCTGGTTAAAATCACCCAGCAGTTTCCTCATTCTTCAAACTTTCACTTCCCCCTCTACGGGAAGAAAGCAAAGACACAATAAGACATAGTTAATTGCAACTCCCAAAGTATTTGTGAGTGCTCATATTTTTCAAGCAAGCTCCCTTCTCAGAAGGAATGCTGATACCTTAAAAGGTGAGACATCGTGAATCACCGACTATTTGATGCCCTAGCATTGGCTGTGTCTGAAGAGGTGCCAGTGGAAACACAAGCATTTCCGACTAAGAAACTCTTGAGCTTTGCAGTTAACTGAGGGTTTACAAAATGTTTGGAAACCTTGCTCTCATTTCCTCTGTTCATGTATGTGGCAAAATCTCTCAGGCTTTTCCTTCTATTTTCCTTCAAGAAGAAACTAGCTAGAACAATTGCTGCTACATTTCTGATTGGTTTTTACTCCATTTGCATGTTTTTGTTCTTATAACAATGTTATAAATGCTGGGGCTAATTGGCGTGTCAGTAGAAAACAGGCACTTGTGATTGGAACTTAGGGTAAGTTCAACACTGATGTGTGAGCCAGAACCAAGTCAGGAGACAGCACCACACAGGAAAAAGTTTCATATAAACAATTCCTACCTATGAAGAGGATTACTTGCTAGGGAGAAAAACAAAGCAAAGCAAAACAATTCAGACAGATCCAGGAAGAGAGAACAGATCTAGGTGCTCATTAATACCTGTAAGGTTGAGGCAATACCCTCCCTGACAAATCAGAAGGAGCCACTTCCCAGGGCGGAGGCAGTGATTGCATTGGAGAGGACACAGAAAAGGTGGCTGAGGTGGCCGCTGTGCTGGGGACACCCCAGAAGCTCTCCAGGGGCCCAGGGAGGGGGGCTCCAGTTCCTGGGCACCGTGTGCACACTGCAGGCCTCTTTTAAGAGCTCAGGGGCCCACAGGGAGGGACGCCGATTCCTGAGCACCCTGTGCACGCTGCAGGCCTCTTCTAAGAAGAGCTCAGGAAGAAATCCCCTTTCTCCTTCTCCTGCAGCATCCTCCCAGGCCCCTGGGCTCACAACACTAACAGTGTGCCGGCTGGCAAGGAAGTCTCAGCGCATGCAACACCATAATCCCACAGCGGGCAACGGGAGGCAGACTGGGGGCTGAGAACAATAAATTAACAGTGAGTACTGCCGCCGTGACAAGTGCAGCTGCCTCCTGCCTTTCCTTCTTTCCTTCAGTCAAAATGAAGGCAACATTTGGATAGTGTGTGCTCATGTCTTCTGTGTTTTTTTTCTGTCATATGGGCTCCTTGACCTTGACATTGTTTTCTAAGTATTCTCTCCAAACTCATTATTATTTTGTAACTAACTTTGTTATCTCCTCACTAAATGCATCCCATTGAACAATTACATTTTAAACTCTAACAAGTGTCTCAGGGGCCCCTGTGGTCTGGACCTGCCCATCTCGCCAGCTCTTGTAGCTCCTAATTCCCTCAGCATTTGCATATTTCAGTTTTAGGCTTTCTTTTGCTTTCTTTCTTTCCTTCCTTCCTTCCTTCCTTTCTTTTTTCTTTCTTTCTCTCTCTCTCTTTCTTTCTTTTCTTTTCTGTTCTTTTCTTTGTAAGTATCAGGATGTTTCCACCTCAGAACCTTCACACCTAAGCTTCACTCCTCTAACACCCCCACTGACTCCCAGGCACTCTCCCCTTTAAACAAATAAAGAGCTGCAACAGAAAGTTTAGTGTAAGGGGAAACTGGAAACAGATAGGGTCCTTAGACATCCTTGCCCTGTGCCCACCCACCGGCCCTTCTCAGCCCCAGATCCTAGGGTGCAGGAACACACAAACCCAGGTAGGTCGCAGGACTGAAGCCTGTTGGAGCAGCACGACCCCATCATCTCAGAGCTCAAGAAGCAACAAGAGCTCATGTGCCTTCACACACAAGCTTGAGAGAGCCACACATATCATCCGAGTCTCCGAGGCTTTCTGACTTCCTTTTATCTGAGGGCATCGCAATGTCTCACATGACTAAAAACGTGAAGAAAACTTCTTAAAAGAGAGAAGGAGAATGTAACAGAAACCGATTGCCCAGAGTATCAGCCCGGGAGCCCTAGATGTTTTAGAAGAGTGTCGTCTGCTGACGCCTCTAGTGCCTTATCAACACCTTTACCTGTGGATACAATTCAAAGGAAGCCTTGAGGAATGGTGGCTTTCCTGAAGTGTTTGTTCTGCAGCAGAACAAGAACCTTGACAAGAATGAAGTTACCTGGCTGTTTCATTCCCTGTCCACCTCAATTTTTATGAGTTCATTGCCCGCCACGGCAGAATGTGTGTCTCACTGGTTTTCTCAGGTGCAATGTGAACTTCATGCTACTTGGTTCATCTCGTCTACCTGTGTCCTTAAAAGCTAGCACCAGGCTTTATAGGAAGAATTAACATGTTTTAATGAGAGAATGAAAACAGTCTGCAAGTTGTTTTGTGGTGTGTCTCATGGAGCGTCCTTATTTATCCTCCAAGTGATTAGCGGGCATCGATTCTGAGTTAAGGACTCCATGAGGTTTTGGGCTAAAACAGTGAACAAGATACTCAAGAACTTTTTTATTATAACTTTTTTATTATCTTTTTTATTATAGAACTTCCAATCCAGCCAGAATTAAAAAGACAAAATTGGGTCGGGCGCGGTTGCTCACGTCTGTAATCCCAGCACCTTGGGAGGCCGAGGTGCGTGGATTAAGAGGTCAGGAGATCTAGACAATCCTGGCTAACATGGTGAAACCCTGTCTCTACTAAAAATACGAAAAGTTAGCTGGGCATGGTGGCACACGCCTGTAGTCCCAGCTACTCGGGAGGCTGAGGCAGGAGAATCACTTGAACCTGGCAGGCGTTCAAGGTTCAAGGTGGCAGGGTTGCAGTGAGCCAAGATCACACCACTGTACTCCAGCCTGGCCGACAGAGGAAGACTCTGTCTCAAAAAAAAAAAAAAAAAAAAAAAAAAAAAACCGACAAAATTGGAACAAAAATTTTTAGTGGTGGCTCACGCCTGTAATCCCAACACTTTGGGAGGCTGAGGTGGGAGGATCCCTTGAGACCAGGAGTTTGAAACCAGCCTGGGCAAAAAAATGAGACCATGTTGTCTCTATGAAAAATAAACATAAAAAATAACTGGGCATGGTGGCATGCACCTGTGTTCTCAGCTGCATGGGAGGCTGAGGTGGTAGGATTGCTTGAGCCCACAAAGTTGAGGATGCAGTTAGCTATGTTCTCACCACTGTACTCCAGCCTGAGCAACAGAGCCAGACCCTGTCCCAGACAAAAAGCAAAATAAAAATCTTAGTATTATGGTGCTTGCAAAGGAGAAATACAGATGGCTCAGCAGTGGAGAGTCATGGAAGGATCTTGAACTAGTGGGTGACAAACTCAGATTTTAATTACAACAAAGCTTTGATAGCTTCAGTGAGTTGGTGGATATTGAAGGGAAGAAAATAGTTCAGGAGACAAATGAGGAAACGTTTACAGTGCTTGAGCTGGGGGATAGCATAAAGTCCTGAGCTAGGATAATGGCCATGGGAATGAGGAGGGAATGGGGATAGTGATGCTGACACGGTGGCTGTCCTTGGGCAGGTGATGCAGGGCGTGAGAAAGCTGACGCAGGTGCATGCAAGTGGGTCTCAGATGCTCTGCTGGTCTTCAGCCTAGCTGGACACAGTGGTGCTCAGTACCACTGTGTAACCACTACTCAAGTGTAGGTTGACTTCTTCCATCATCCCTGCTATGGTATTAATGGGTGTGTCCCTCCAAAATTCAAATGTGGATACCTAATCCCTAAGGTGATGGCATTAGAAAGTGGAAGGTGGGGTCTCCAGGAAGCAATTAGGTCGTGAAGGTTGCACCCTCATGAATGGGATTAATTCCCCTATAAAAGAAGCTTCAGGCGGGGTGCAGTGGCTCATGCCTATAATCCCAGAACTTTGGGAGGCTGAGGAGGGTGGATCACGAGGTCAGGAGATCAAGACCATCCTGGCTAACACGGTGAAACCCTGTCTCTACTAAAAATACAACAAAATTAGCTGGGCATGGTGGCAGGAGCCTGTAGTCTCAGCTACTCGGGAGGCTGAGGCAGGAGAATGGCGTGAACCCGGGAGGCGGAGTTTGCAGTGAGCCGAGATCGCACCACTGCACTCCAGCCTGGGCAACAGAGCGAGACTCGATCTCAAAAAAAAAAAAAAAAAAAAAAAGAAGCTTCAGAGAGCTGCCTCTGATTTTCATGTACTCTGCCATGTGAGGACACAGCATTCCTTTTCTCCAGAGGATACAGCCACAAGGCACCACTGTGGAAGCAGAGAGCAGCCCTCACCAGACACCAAACCTGCCTGTGCCTTGACCTTGGACTCTCAGCCTCCAGAACTATGGAAATAAATGTCTATTATTTGCAAATTACCATTTCTGTTGCATTTTATTATAGCTGCCCCAGTGGACTAAGACGACCAGGGACCTCCAATGTGTAGGCCAACAAGCAAGAAAATATCCACCTGCACATTAGTATTTGCTTGAATGTCTTAGTCATTTCGCCTACATTTAACCATAGAGAAAGCAATACCACCCACAGTGACAGTTAAGAAGCAACAATGATGTATAGTGACATTTTATTGTCTCCGCTCTAACAAGGAGCCTTTCTTTAGTAGGAGAAAGATTGTACCACTTGGTATGGACCATTTGCTAAGCTACCCAGATAATGAAATCACTTTGTCATCTTTTGCTAGAGCTGCTCATCACGTATGTCTTTGAGCTTTTTATTTCACGATGAGGTATGAGGCTGCTGGAGGGATTCCCCTGTTTCTTATTACCCACAGCCTTTTTGTGGCCACTGTTTGACTTTAGTGGAGATTTATGATCTGGGCAATGGACGTTAAGTAATCCGCCTTCCCCAGTACAGCCTTCTATTTAGGTTGTGTTATATAAAATGGGCAAGGAATCATTCTTTGCTGTAAACATCACTTTTAGCAAAGTTGAAATTTAAGTGCCTATTGAACATTCACTCAAAATTTCTCTCTAAGACAGAAATAAATAGAGGTCTTCACTTCAGCTTTTAGTGTTCTTTCCAAGAGGAACATTTATCCTTTTCTGTCAAGGCCAGCGGACTCAGGCCACAGAAAACTTACAGAAGGAGAGACTTTTCCAAGAATCTAACACTGATTCCAATTTTTGTCAAACCACTTTTTTCACCTGATATTCTCCACAGACAATTTTCGTGTTTCTAAAAATATACGTAATAACTTGTATAATGATGATAAAGCTCTGTATTACAATTGAATAAGACAGGAAAACTATTTCAAGTTATTTGCTGTGTGTATCATTTAGGAATCTTCTAATTTCAAGTAATAGAAAATTACCACCCACAATAAGCTAGCAAGACATGGAACCTCACCATCTCATAGACAGGAGTGGTCCTGGATCCAGAACTCCAGAACTGAGACCACCATCAGCTCCCCTGCCTCTGGGCTGATCATTCTTACCCTGACTCCCTCCCACTGTGGTGAGCAGGTGGCTGTTGAGTCTCCTAGAGATATCCCTCGAGCTGCCTGTGGAGAGAAAAGAGAATATTTTGTTTTCAAACTTTACAGAAAAGGTCTAGAATTCCCCCTGTATTCATTTTGGTCACCAATCCATCCCTGAAGCAATGCCTACGGCCAAGAAGAAGGGACCACAATGCGAATGCAGGCCTGACTGAGATGCTCAGGCATTTTTCTAGGAAGGATGAGGATTTTTCTAAGGAAGGGACAAGGAGTGAATTTTCTTGGTATGTCCTTCACATCAGCAAATCTCTAATCAGATCTTCATATAGAATTTATCATTCCACAGGTGACCTGTGACCAAGATGCAACCAGGAGATTCCTGGATGATGAGGTCGAGTTGGGTCAGTCAAATTCTTTTTCTCATCGGTGCAAGATTCTAAATCAAAGCGTTGCATATGGCAAGACATTTCAACTTTTTAAATAGCAAACCAAGCAATCAAAAACTCATATCCACATTTTCAAAACAGCTTATAGCATAAAATCTATGTCATTAGTGGATTTGTGAGAGTTTTTTTTTTTTACCTATGATAAAAGAAAAACTTCAACCAAATTAAATTTAAAGGAGTATAATTGAGCAAAGAACGATTCGCGAATAAGGCAGCTCCCAGAATCACAGCAGATTCAGAGAGACTCCAGCACAGCCACGTGGTGGAAGGAGATTTTAGACAAAAAAAAGAGAAATGATGTACATAAATTAGAAGTGAGGTACAGAACAGCTAGATTGGTTACAGTTTGGCATTTGCCTTATTTGAACACGGTTTGAACACTCAGAAGTGTATGAGTGGTTGAATTATGGCTGCTGGGACTGGCCAAGTCTTAGCGATTGTTACAGGGACATGCTCCTAAGTTAGATTTTCTTTTCTTTTTTTTTTTTTAAATTTCATTCAGTTTTATTTTTATGATTTTTGCTATATTAATTCTTACCAATTTTAAACCAACATTTTTAACCTAAATCAATTCATTTTACATTATTTTCAACTTAAACTGCTTATACTTACATTTTCCAATACATTAAAATATAAAATTATTACAAATGTTCACCCATGTAAGATCTAAAATTATCTCAAGTTCCAGGAGTGGTAGTGGGCTTACACTTTGAAAAACATGACTAGATGCAAAATTTGAGTATTCGTCTTGACGGCTTAAAAACATATTAAACATACGCTGGGCACAGTGGCTCACACCTGTAATCCCGGCACTCTGGGAGGCTGAGGCGGGTGGATCACGGGGTCAAGAGATTGACACCATCCTGGCCAACATGGTGAGACCCCATCTCCACTAAAAATATAAAAATTAGCTGGGCGTGGTGGCATGCACCTACAGTCCCAGCTACTCAGGAGGCTGGGGCAGGAGAATCACTTGAACTGGAGTTAAGATTTTCAGTCTTGTCTACCTATTAAGCTAGGTTGCAGGTCGTCCACAAGGACTCAAATATAGAAGCACAGAGTCCTTCCCAAGCCATATTTAGTTCCTTTAACACTTACATAGAATGGACTAAAGGGTTTGTGTTGTGTGGTGTGTGTGTGTGTGTGTGTGTGTGTGTATGTGATAAATAACTTTGTGTAGCAAATATTGGCTTTTAAAAAATTACTTTAAAGACTTTCACTCTTTTCTGACAAAGCGATCTGTGTTGAAGCTCTTCCTGGAGGGTTTAACGCATCTGGTGCCACCACACACCAAGATAGAGGGAGATTATTTTCCACAGTTATTTGTGTAAAGAAGATCTTAGGGTGGTAGGTGGTTTATACAAGATTTGAATATGGACAGGTTTTCTTTGGTTATTTAAAAAAGAAAACATACACAAAGAATCTGTGTAATTGAGGAGTTATCAGGTAAGTCATTTTACGTTGGGGCTATGAGTCTTTGTGAGGATCTAAGTGAATATTAACCAAGTGGAACCTTACAGAGTCAGGTGTTTCAGAGAAAAAACTTTTGATCCTGCACAATGTTAAAATATCAATGCTGTTTTTATTACAATCTATTAACAAGAGCAGCCAAAAAATGACGCCAGATCTCTCCCATACAGGAGATAATATCTTTTTTTTTCTTTTTCAGAAATAGTCAATGGCATTTTAAAGAAAGATGAAGGGATCAAGGCTGAGGTCAGTGAGTTTACAAACAAGTAATAATAATTCCTTCAATCTAACAGCCTCTTCTTCTGCATTTCTAATTTTCTGAAAAGTCAGTTGAGCCATTCCAATAGGAAAAACATTGTAAATGTGTATACAAGATGTTTGTATCACCTCAATCTTTTTAGCTTTCATTAGGAGCATTTTTTTGGTATAATACACATGCTTCAATGTAGCTTTTCTATATTTGGATCATTTCATACAAGAAAAATTTAAGAATCCTTTCTTCTCTCACTGCAAAAATATCTCACTAAGCTCACCCAAGGAAGGCCATCCCATAATAAAGCTTGTTTGAATCACTTTCCCTGAAGGTACATTCAAACCCAGTTATAACATGATCTCCAGGAACTGCACAGGAGGAAGCTGTCTCCACCAGGAGCTGGATCAGATGCTGCTCGCTGTCTACCTATTGTTGACGTCCTCCTTCCCACGTGGATGCAACGTGAGCAGTCAGAAAGTCAAACTTCACGGAACGACAGAGGTGCCAAAACGGCAACTCCACCACCTGTCCGAAGATCTAAGAGAACACCAGCTGTCTGACAGTGGCTTGAACATTATACATTCAGCTTTTCACTTACAAATATAGCTGTGAATTCACAGGGAGTAATCCTACGTGCTGGATCTCATTCTCAAGTGGGAAAATTCTATAGAAAAACTGATGTCAAATTAGCCATTTGTGGTGGTTGCTGAAGAAGACACACCAAGTCAGATGCTCCTGACTAAGCAAGGCGATACCCTCCAACTGAGCATGGAAGCCCTACTGCAATAGGAGGGCCTTCATCATCCACACTGGTTAGCACTTGCCACTTCTTGCTGCCATTGCCTCTCATACAAGAAAGTCAAGCCAGTGTAGATCAAAAATAATAACAATAAAAATAAAAAAATAAAAAGGTTTACCTAATTTTATTCAGAAGCTTTATTAAAGATTTTTTTTGTATTATCTGATTTTTAATCTGATTTTTAAAAAGATTTTTAAAATCTTTTTACCTTTATTAAGGTAAACTTACTTTGTTAGATTATCCTGAATGTACAGTTCAATGAGATTTAGTAAATTTCCAATTGTGAAACCCTATCAAAACCAAGTTCAGAAGATGTCTATCAATCAAAAAGAATAAGAAGCTTATAGAAATCTCATATAAATGGGAATATGTAATAGGGAGTCTTACATGCTTGGTTTTCATTTAGCATATTGCTCTTCAGATTCTCTCCTATAGCTGCATGCTATTCGTAGTTTCCTCCTTTTTATTACTGAGTAGATGTGTGGTTGTGTGGATATAACACATTTCCTTTATCCGTTCACCCGTCAGCACTTGCATTGCTTCCAGTTTGAGGCCATCACAGAAAATACCCTGAACATTCACATATAAGTCTTTTTTGTCAACATAACAATTACTTCTTTCCTGGATGTGGAATGGCTGGTGAAGATAAGTTTAACTCATTTAGAAACTGTCAAAGTGTTTTTCAAAGTAGCTGCAACATTTTTTAAATCCTCACCAGAAATATTGGAAAATTCCAGTTTCTCCACAGTATTCCAACACTTGGAAGCCTGAGTCAGTTCATGTGAATTTTAATTCGACCTCTAAGTAAAAAAGATGTGTTACAAATGTGCATCTTGTGATTATTCCAGTCGCCTGAGGAGGAAGGAGGGTGGGCAGGATTTTTACTAAAAGTCAAATTTTGAGGTGTTTTAAGTAGATTTGGTAGTAGAAAAAGATGATCATTTCATTATTTTTTTCAATTTATTTTTTTCCAAATTTTCTCATTTTTCTTCAAGACATTACAGAAAACCTGAAGAAACATGAAATAAAGAAGGAAATAAAACCCATTCATAACCTGCTACCCCTGAATAAATCCAGCAAGCTTCTTGTCCATGCTTTCTCTTGGTCTGTGTCCAGGGTCATGCAATGATTTTCCAGTCATGACTGTGAAACAAATCAATTCTAAATTTTACAGTACCTCTTACCTATGTTCCATTGCTACATGGTCTTCATATTTAATGTGTAATGAATGCCTGGTGTTTCTGTCTCTCATTTTACTTTAAATTATATGATGTTTTTCTACTCTCAAAATATTTATTTCATTAATGTTTACTATTTAGTAATATATCAATATATCTATATCTGTCAGTATCGATCCATCTGTCTACATAGTATGGAGACTTGTGTTCTGTTTTCTTCCTTCAGATTTGTTATTTAGAACTTGTTTTCATCAATAGCGCTGAACAGGTCAATGATATGAATACTTTATGATTATCAGAACATGTTTCCAAACTGCCTTCAAAATTGCATATGTAGAGAGACAGTGTCAGTTTTACTTTGGCCTCACTGGTTTGGGAAGCAACATGACTGTTTTTTTTTTGTTTTTTTTTTTTTGAGACGAAATGTCACTCTGTTGCCCAGGCTGGAGGGCAGTGGCACATTCTCGGCTCACTGTAACATCTGCCTCTCAGGTTCCAGCGATTCTCCTGCCTCAGTCTCCTGAGTAGCTGGGACTACAGGCCCACCACACCCAGCTAATTTTTTTTGTATTTTTAGTAGAGACAGGGTTTCACCATCTTAACCAGGCTAGTCTCGATCTCCTGACCTCGTGATCTGCCCACCTTGGCCTCCCAAAGTGCTGGGATTACAGGCGTGAGCCACCGCAACCGGCCTGACTTTGCTCTTCTCCTTCAATATTGTATTGGCTCTTCTGAATCTTTTCCTCTCTGTATAAACTTTAGAATCAGTTTGTTGATATCCACATATAACTTACTGGGATTTTGATTGGAATCATATTTAGTATACATCAATTTAGATGTGCAAATATAGATCAATTTGCATTAAATATAGATCACTATAGATTGACATCTTGACAATAATGAGGCTTCCTATCTATGAATAAGGAATGTATCTTTATTTAGTTACTCTTTGATTTCTTTCATCAGTTTTGTAGTTTAGATCTTAGAGACAATTTCTATAATTTTAGACATGATAACTCACCTTTCTAAAACTTTACTTTCTATTCTAGAAATTAAGGTTATTAATAGTACCTAGCCCCACAGGGTTGCTAACAAAATCAATTGAGACAATGCAGATGTATCTCTAAAAGCCAGATATGGGATCGCAGAACACTCAGAGGATGCCCCCTAATGCTCCCTTTCAAGCTCAGAAGCTGATGCTCAAGAGCTTTTCTCGCCCTGGAGTCCTTGCTATCTCCCTTTCTATCGACTCCGGTTTCTAAAGAAGACGCTAAAACTGTGAGTTCTTAAGCCTAGGTTCTTACCAATACAGGGAGAAATCGTCTTGGTAATCTCCATCTCAGAATCATAAGAATTCAAGACATTTTCTGGGATGACATTTTCTTTCCCTCATGTACTCTTCTGTCTTTTTTTTTAATGTGGTAAAAAAGAATAACGGGCTCATATGAATTCTGGAAAGTTATACAAGTCCTTGACTTTCCACCTATCAGTATTCAAACTCCATCTGCGAGGCAGATTCTAAGACCTTCATCGTGAGCTTTCTATTATGAGATAAGATGGTCTGGAAATAAAAGCTGGGACACCAGGTGGAAACAGGATGGTGGTAAAGGCCTATAGAACAAAAGGTGACTCTGGAGGCCAAAGGTCATGGGAGCAGAGTCAATGACATCAGCCAAGTTAACCATGCAGTCCCAGAGCCCCTGCAGATGGCCACAGGGAGCACCTCATCAGCAGAACTGGAGCAGGCGCGGAACCGACAGACCAGGCGACCTTGCAGGGGCCCCAGTGCCTCAGGCAGGAGTCTGCCTAGGGTGCTGGGCTGAGGATGAGCCTTGGGCTGGACTGTGTGAATATGGTGGGAAAATTCTAACTTAGCGAGAGGCATTCGAGAGCAAGAGTGGCTGGGTTTGAGGTCTCATTTTATGCTTCCTCCCTGTGGAATCTATCACAATGTCTCTCATTTCTTGGGCTCATAAGGGTGACGTGAGAGGATTAATTGAGGCAATAATGTGCGAAACACAAAATAGTGCAAAACAGTTAGCATACTGTCTCGCGTATAGAAGCAGTTCAAAATATGTTCACTCTTATTGTCTTGTTGGTACCTTTCCAGATGCACTTGTGTCCAAAATAGAAAGTAGGATTAAAGTTATTTCAACAAATTCTTCCCATATAAATCTTTCAGGTCAATGTGGCCTGCTGTGTTAAATAATTAGTCTAGGCATTTGTTATTTTTTTCTTTGCTCCTTCAGCATGAGATTCAGTACGTATAGGAAATGCAAACCTCCTTTTCTTTTCCTTATTTTCCAACCATCAAACTTTTCAAACGTAAATAAAACCTTAGACTTTGAGGCTTCCTGAATTTACCTGTGTTACATTCAAAAGAACTATTTTCTGATGTATTTTTCTGTTGTTTAGCCAAATCCTTGTGGGTAAGCAAATTATTTCTAATTATATCCTCTTGCACAGCAGTTTCATTTTCTTATATCACAGAAGCCTTCTTTAGGTAGAACTTCTTGAGACTCTACCACTGACTCAGGTCCCACTTTTTTTTTTCAACACAGGATTTAATTTTATTTGTATTCATGCATAATGTGTCAGACATAGGATAGAAACAAGCACAGCTTAGAGGAGAAGAAAGGGGCTGCAGTCAGAGGTGTTATTGTCAAACTATGCTAAAATATGAATCGTTTCCAATGATTTTTACCAAATATTCATGAGCCAACATTATTTACAAAGGGCACACGCTTTACAAATAAAACCAGATATTGATATCTCCAACTTGCAGCTTGGAAAGTTGTGATCCAAGAATGGTTCTATGATCATCCGAGGTCTCAGAGATAGGAGGACATCGAGCAAGGAATAAAAACTTCGGGCTGGGCACAGCGGCTCATACCTGTAATTCCAGTGCTTTGAGAAGCCAAGGAGGGTGGATCACTTGAGCCCAAGAATTCCAGACCAACCTGGACAACATGGCAAGACTTCATCTCTACAAAAAATACAGAAATTAGCCTGGCATGGTGGCAGGACTGCAGTCTCAACTAGTGGGAAAGCTGAGGGGAGAGGATCGCTTAAGCCCAGGGTACTGAGGCTGCAGTGAACTATGATGGTTCCACTGCACTCCAACCTGGGTGACAGAGCAAGACCCTGTCTCAAAAAAAAAAAAAAAAAAGAGAACAAAACAAACAAAAAAACCCAAACGACTTCAATGCTCATTATTTCATAATTTAAAATATAATGTATTTCAAATATAAATTATGGCATAGAGTATAAAAAATCAACATATGATCAGGGAAGTACAAATCACAACCACAGTGTGATACCACCTTACTCCTGCAAGAATGGACATAATAAAAAAAAGTCAAAAAAATAGTAGATGTTTGCATGAATGCGGTGAACAGGGAACACTTCTACACTGCTGATGGGAAGGTAAACTAGTACAACCACTGTGGAAAACAGTGTGGAGATTCCTTAAAGAACTAAAAGTAGAACTACCATTTGATCTAGCAATCCCACCACTGGACATCTACCCAGAGGAAAATAAGTTATTACACGAAAAAGTTACCTGCACACACGTTTATAGCAGCACAATTTGCAACTGCAAAAATGTGGAACCAACCCAAATGCCCATCAATCAATGAGTGGATAAAGAAACTGTGAATACATATATATATATATGAATGATGGAATACTACTCAACTATAAAAAGGAATGAATTAATGGCATTTGCAGCGACCTGGATGAGATTGGAGATTATTGTTCTAAGTGGGTTAACTCAGGAATGAAAAACCAAACATCGTATGTTCTCATTCCTAAGTGGGAGCTAAGCTATGAGGATGCAAAGGCATAAGAATGACACATTGGATTTTGGGGGCTCAGGGGGAAGGTGTGGAAAGAGGGTGAGTGATAAAAGGCTACAAATAAGGTGCAATGTATACTGCTTGGGTGATGGGTGCACCAAAATCTCACAAATCACCACTAAAGAGCTTATGCATGTAACCAAATATCACCTGTCCCCCAATAACCTATGGAAATAAAAAAAAAATCAACATGTAGGTACTTGTACAACTTGTAAAAGTTAAAACTTTTTTCTACTTTCTTCACATTGTATTGGAAGTAAATAAAGGTGATAGATAACTGATAGATACATAGATAAACAATAGGATGATAGAAAAATAGACAAATGATAGATAGGTGTTAAATGGAAAGAAGATAGATGATAGGATGATAAATATATAGATGATAGATAAAGAGGAGAAAGAGAGAAATTGGGTAATAGAATGTGAAAATAGACGTGAAATGCTTAAATCATGACCTGGTGCACACTGCTTTCTCTATAACCCCATGAGGTAGATAATATTATCCTATCCATCTTAAATGTCTCTAAATAGCTTTCCCAAGTTTCCATTTCAGACAACTTGGAAGCTCTCCACGTAGCACCATTCAAATCCATTACCCATTCTCTCACCTTAGGAGTCACTACTAATCTGAATATGACGTTATTTCGTTCTATGCATTTCTAATAACTGGATTACATATATATGCATCCCTTTGCAACACACAATGTGATTTTTAATCATTTTGATAAGTGGATCTATACTGTCCACGTTCTTTGAGATGCCAGGACAGGAAGGTTGGCCAGAATTGAACACCAGAGTCTATCAGGACAGCATCCAAAACAGAGCTCCACCCCATGCACCAAGCTTGGAAGGCACCGCCAACATAGCCAGGACCTGATACAGACAGCAGTGCTGTCCTGGGCTGCCCCAGACCTCCAGATGCAGGGTGGCTTTTTAATGCTCGGAAATCATTGAACACACTAATAGTGCGAAGAAATGTCAGGTAATTCCCGTGGCATAAGTCTTATCCTTTCCAGTTAAGTACATTTTTATATATTTTTTAGACAGGGTCTCCCTCTGTCGCTCAGGTTGGAGTGGAGTGGCGGGATCTCAGCTCACTGCGACCTTGGCCTCCATGCTCAAGTGATCCTCCCACTTCAGCCTCCTAAGATGTTGGAAAAACAGTTGCATTTCACCACGACTGCATATGCCATCACGATAGCCTAATTTATTTATTTATTTATTTTTTTTTTTTGCAGCAACAGGGTCTCCCTGTGTTGCCCAGGTTGGTCGTGAACTCCTGGGCTCAAACAATCCTCCCGCCTCAGCCTCCCAAAGTGCTAGGAATACAGGTATGAGCCCGCACGCCCAGCCCCAATTAAATACTTCATTTATACATAATCCTATGGACTAAGGGGTCCACACAGCCTGAAAAAAATAGGAAAGTGAGTCGTCTTGCACTTTCCCTTTAGAAACTGTGTGATAAACTAAAAGTTGCTGTGATATCCACAAAAGAATAACGCCTTAAAACAAGCAAACCAACAGGTCTTCTAAGCAGTATTGCAAAACAATTCTTGCTGTCCTTTAGCCCAAGATATTTTAGTCGTGAAAAGCAGTGAATAGTGGGTGTCCGTCATCCTCCAAAGAACATGAAGCTTGTTGAAAGCCACTGGCTTCCAGGCCCTCTGGTTGGGTGCATGCCCCTGGAAGCATTCAACCCCTCTGAAGGGTTTTGATTAAATGCAGCAAAGGAGGCTTTTAGCAACTCTCTCAGCCATCTGAGCAGTTGTGACTGTCATTTAGGCCCAGTAATTTGTCATTATATTCAGAGACAGCAGAGCTGAGGATGGTGTTTCACGCTTGCAGGGCAGTGGATTTGAAGTGCGCAGCCCCAGTTGTTGGCCACACAGAGGCTTGGTGAGCCGGGGTGAATCTCTGAGGTTCTTTCTCAGTCTACGTTGTAACTATGGCTGTCTAGTTCCTCAACTGCAAGTAACAGTCACTAAGCCTGGATAACTTGAAGAAAAAAAGACAATTGTATAGAAAGATATGGGGTTGCTCCCAGAATTAAGAGAAAAGGCCGGTGAGCAGGTCGTGGGAATGCAAGTGGCCCTGTGGAATGAAAGACTGACCTCCTGGCAGGGAGTGGGTTGACGGACTGAGGGTAAATTCAGCCAGATGTACCTGACCCTGCAGGTCAGGCCCCGATTCCTGGGAGAGGAGTCAGTCCCAGCTCAACCACATGAGTGTGATTCCCCCACGCCCAGTCGGGGACAATCGAGGAATTGTGAGCAATGCTCATTAAAGCTGATTGTCATCAGGAGGAGTGACTCCCAGGGAAACTCCAGGTGCCAGTCCCACAGGAGAAGAGGACGCAAACTGGGTTTCAATAGCCACAGATGTCCGTGCTGTGGATGGTAACACGGTCGCCTATTCTGCAGCCTTTAATACATCAAATAATTATAGAAGCCCCATATTTTTTAGGAAAGCACTCAAACCGAGGCACAGAGCAAGACAGATTTTATTTATTATTTTAAAGAACCGTAGCGTGAAACACACTGTGGGATCACTACTTTCTTGCTGCCCCCGAAAGCTTCAACTCAATATGTTAATAACTCACAAGGGTGTATTATGTATGAGCATTCTGTGGAATGTGAAAATTAGTAATAGAGAGTACTTATTTCCCTTTGAATTCTTAGCTTTGGTAATTATTTACTCAATGAAGCAAAAGAAGATTCACAGGTAGAATGACAGAAAAATTCAGAAAAAAAATTGGATAAGAAAGGGAATATTGGATGCATTTCATAATGTGACGGTTTCTTGAAAAATGAGAAAGTTGAAGCAAGAGAAACCTGACCTGTAATATCAGCTCTGCCTATCTGTGTGTCGTTGGGTAAACCAACCAACTTATTTAACTTCCTGCTTCTTCATCTAAATTATCAAAGTGGCAAAACCCTCTCGGTTGGATTATGGGGGTTTTGCAACGTCTGCGAGTCACAAAGTGCAGTGTCTCGCGCTCGGTATTTCCTCAATAAATGGCACCTAAATGCAGTTGCTGGCCAGCAAGACTCAGATTGCAAGTTGGACATCAAAACTTGGTCGCTGCGAAGCCACCGTGGGCTATTTTGGAAATATTATTGGTTGTTTTTCATTTTGTAATAACTTGACTCTCAGAGAAAGTAGTGTATCATTCTGTTGAACTGCAAGACATTCGGCGTGATGGGCCACCAAGGACGTGTAAAGCATTGTGTTTTCTGTCAGCCCAGAAATGAACGGGGGACCGCTGGTTCTGAGTTTAAAAAGCGGTTTGATTTTTTTGAGCCTTCTTTAAATGTGTTATTTGGAGTGCTCTGTTAAGTAGGTCTATAATTCTCTTTCATGTCATTTTTTTAGTGTGGTGAACGTTTACAAACAGAGCTCCCAAATTGAAAAGAAATCATAAAAAAACATAGGTTTTGGTTTGGAGGAAACCAAGTTTTCTTACCGTTTTTAATGTGAACCATCAAGAAATCTGTCAGCTTCAACGTTACTATTCTGTGTCTCATGGTTCCTGCTAAATGTGCTATTGATTAATCATGACGATGATGTGAATGTCGTGGGAAAAATATGGAGCTTCATTTTGAATATCCTAAAGGCTCATTATGAAGACTCCCATTCCTTCCCTCCCCTGCAAGGGACTCAGGTGCGCATATTAAAGTGAAAATAAATTCACACAGAAAAATAGAAATCTAAAATTAAATATTTAATTAGAACTCTGATTTGCTTTAAAGATTGGTGGCATTGCACAGGCTATATTACACCCTCTTTATAATTTTTTTGACAAAAAAAAGATACTGTTCATTTTAACAGGCCACTTTAATATTAATACATGTGTAATAGGATTGGAACTGAAAATCAGCTAGAGATGGTACATTTTACATTATTGGGAAAATTACAGTTCTGTATTGTAAAAACATTTATTTTTTAACAATGTACCTACATTAATCAAAAAATTACAGCATATTTAATAATTTTACAAATTCTTCATAAAAAATATATCTCTGTACAAAAAGGTCTTTCGCACCTACGTCGTGACAGCAGCGTGTGGTGGGACGGGAGGGAGGGTCGGCGATGACAATGGGTTTTCCTGATCATAATGCCAGCGTTCTTTTTTTTACCCCCTTTTTATAATAGCTTTTTGTTGTTGTTTACAAAATATTTTACAGAAGAAAAAAATTATTGCAGCTAGCCTGAAAAAAGGCAAGATGTGTGTGTAAAACAAGCAGCAGTTTTAAACAGCTCTGAAGCACGTGTCCTCTGTTAGTGTGTGGTCGCGTCCCTCACGCGTGTTCCCGTTGCCTTCAGGGAAGAGTCTTCTAGACCTAACTCAGCAAGCACAGCTCCTGACTGCCCTAAAATGAGATCCTCCAACACCTTGCGGAGACGCCGTTCAACACTGCACACAACCTTAGGAAGAAACTAGGCAGAATTCTCACACGAGAATTTCACTGATTTTTTTTTTCATTTAAATAACATGCTTCAAACTGGCAACCCTAGGACAGTTTGACTTTGCACACAAAGGAAAATCATATCTAATTTGATATGTGGTTTCTTGTATGTATGTATGTCCTGTCATTTCAGGATTTCATAGCATCGTTGACCAGGGAGCAGGTCAGGGATATGGGAACAGAGATGTTAATTCAGACTCTGAAGTCAGCATTTTGCACCTAGTTTGAATGACTCAAACTTAGATATGTACAATATATATATATATATATGTATGTATATATATACACTAATATGTATAGTAACCCTGTTCTCCCTTGCACACGAGCCTCCTCACACTTTCAATCATCTTCTGTTTCGTTCAATGTGTGTGTTAGGAGCACGACTCCCGCTGACCTCGTCCCGTCTACTGTGAAACAGCAATGTAAGGATTCCCACTGGCAAAGCAAATCTCCAAGGATGTGGGCAGGTTGGCCAGGGAAAACTGTGCAGAGAATTCAGCATAATGATACAGAATCCAACAGCGTGGGGTTCACAAGACAAAGGAGTCCCTAGGAGAGGCCAGTGAGTCCCCAAACAGCAGAGACCCTTTCGACCGAGGAACACAACACTGGGAGCCGAGCTCTACGGAAATGTCCGAATCAAAACGCGTGACTCTCCAAAGAATGCCCCATTTTCCTGACTGCTTTTCCTTTTCCACATTTGAAGTCCTACATGGAAACCTTCAGTACACCAACAGATAAATCAGTCTTAAAGCTAGGTGTCAATGTGTTCACTCCGACAACGTGAAGGCCAATTTGAACATTCTGACATTTCTATTACCAACGCCAATCTAAAATGTGAAACAGAGAAAATCTGCCACAATTGAATAGGAACTGAAATATCAAATAATAAAATAAGTACTATCGTTTCAAAAATATTTTTATCAAATAAGTATAAGTAAAAGTAAACATGATTTTCACTTTGAATTTGTTACATAAACTACCTCACGGCCACATCTTCTACTTCATGTTTTGATTTTTATTTGCCCTGGGGATCTTATAGATTTTATTTGCATCATAACTTATCATTTACCTATAATGGAATTTAAACTTGAAAAGTCACTGAAATTACCTTTCCATCTGGAATCATAAAGCATGAAACAAATAACAAATGAATGTATAAAATATATCATTGTGAGAGGAGAGTGTGTGTACTTTTTCCTTCCCTCTAAAAGAACACTTGGTATTTTGATCCTGAACAATTTTCACTGAGTTCAAGGTGCTACTGTGGTATATTGTCTTTCAATGCAATATCAAAGATCGATGGCACAGTAAAAGACAAAAAAAAAAAAAAACAAAAAAAAAACACTGCAAAAGGGAAGGCTGCATTGTGAGCTAAAACCCACAAGTTCATCGACTATCTAAAATAAATTACTATTCACAGTTTTACATGGCAAACAGAAATTTCTGCAAACCCCCTGCTATTAAGTAGTATCAGAGAGACAGTAATTGGATGAGGATGGTACTAAAGGAGGAAAACGTGTGAAATAAGGAGGCTTCTGTTTTTTTCTCATTGGACCTCTTCAATGAATTCAACACGTAAATGGAGCTAATTGAAGCAATAATAAAATAAATCTCTTCAATACTGTATTTCCTTTTAAAATCTGTGCCATATCTAGGAATACTTTTCCCTAACACTCCAACTAAGCTGATGGGGGAATGTTTAGCTTGATAATATGAAATAATGCTTATATACAATGGATAGTGTGTATAAACCCTGTGTAAATAATTTATTTTTTTTATCAGAATCTTAGTCATTCATAACACACTAGTGCAAAAAATTGTGCATTAAACATTCTGCGACAGAACAGCTGACTGGGAAATTGCAAACATCCCTAGAGATGAACACACAGGGGAGCTGTGAGGTCCTCAAAGCTTGTCAGGTCTCGGAAGGACAGAGTGAAGCATTTGTAGGTGTGAGCCTCTATCAGAAAGGTGTCTTCTTCCAGAAAGCTTTTTATTTTTTTCAGAGTATTCGTGTTCATGGGGGTTTAAAAAGGAAAAACAACACAAGAGAACACATATCGTGGTGCCACCATTCTGTCACCGCACCTGAGGGACATATCCACGAGCCCAGACGATTGCATTGAAAGGCATCTCAGCAACACAGAAATATGAAAGTCTGAGGCATTGAGTATGACGTGTTGGCGCGACGTGGCAGTCTTCCTGGAGTGTGCCTTGATTTCATACAGATGCAGCCAGGCATTTAGAACCCACTTTTGGAATGAAAACGCATGTGTAGTTTGATCCGTAGAAGACCCTGACACATTTGAGTAGAGATCCCCGCTGCACTTATGCCAGTAGACAAGGTTGAAGATCGCTGCAGTAAAGCCAGAGTGGAAGGGAGAGTGGTATATGGCACCAAAGGAATCACTGCTTGTCCATCAGAGGTATGGCTATGAATCAGTCCTGTTGGGGCACTGAGGGCTATACCACTGTACAGACTGTGTTCAGAGTTGTGTCAAACCTCACAGCCTTGGCTTCTGTGGGTTTTAAGTTTGTATCATACATGGGGTTTTCAAACGATGCTTGTCCATTGCTGTTTTCATGCCCAGCATAGCCATTGTATTGAACTTTTGGTCTCGTTCTAAGGAAAACAGAAAACAAATCATTAGAATCCTGGTTTCATTTGCAGATTTAGCAGCTGGGACTGTGTGCAGGAGACAACGTCTACAGAGCAGGGAGCAGTATAGCCAGGACGTTTGCAAAGAAGGAAGGCATCCACACCTGCACACCTGTCAGTTTATTTGCTTAAATTGGTGATTGGGAGTATAAAATGGGTTTTAAAAAGTGAATCGATTTCAAAAATTAAATAAAATTTTTTTGAGACAGGGTCTCACTCTGTTACCCAGGCTGGAGTGCAGTGGCACGACCACCACTCATTTCAGCCTTGACCTCTTGGGCTCAGGCGATCCTCCCACCTCAGCCTCCTGGGTAACTGGGATCAAAGATTTACTTATGCTTCCTACAAATGCCCCAGGGAAATCGGGAAGGTCCCAAAGGCTGAATCGGATTGGTTTTGTTTTGGATGTCTATTTATCACTGATAAGTTATACGGCCTTGGTTAAGACACGAAACTTTCTACTACTCTGTAAAACAGGGTTGTGGGCATATGCCTAGCCTTTAGCACGGTATGCTTACACTAAATTTCAAGTTTAAGCTTTTAGTTCACTGTCGTTACTAATATTCACAAAAAGTTATTTTTTATTTTGCCTCTGTTGAGTTAAAAATGAATCTTTATAAAAAAGGAACTATACTCATTATTAAACTGTTGTCACATTTTCTGGTTAAAAGAAAACCCCTACGTACAATCTATGATTAGAGAATTAGAGGATTTTCAGACTGAAAAGACAGAATCATGTCTGGTCTGCTCTGTCTCTGTTTATTCTTTCCTTATTCCAGAAGAAATCAGGTAAGAAAAATGTGCCACGTGGCAAAACCAGAAATTTAATGTACATAAGCACGCTCGCAAAAACATCATTTGACATTGGGCGTCAAGAAACTTCTGCCGAGACATTTACTAGATTTCCTTATGTTACACATGCTCATTAAGAAAAAGAGAAGTACGTGGCACATGGCTCTGAGAAAAAGGCAGAACAGCACTTTGTGACTGCCCTTGGAGTGGGAGAGGTCCGTGACATTGTGCTTGGAACATGCGCCAGCAGTGATCGTTAGCAAACAAATCCAGCCCCTCGTCAATGAAGTGAAGACCTGGCTAAAATGTTCACTCAATCGTCCAGATCACAAGCTGCCACAGTCCCTTCATGTGTAGGGAAATGCAATCCCAGAGTGGAACTGGCTGCAGCTGGATGCTGACGTGCAGGTGTGCAGCTGCACCCGGCAGAAGGCTGTCAGCACCTTGGGCTCTGAGGAAGCAACTCCCAACATGCAAGCAACAGACTCAGAAATGAGCAGAAACAGGGTTTTTCTGGAGGAATGCAGAGCCAACTCATCAAGAAATATTTATCTCTTTAGAGCCTGAGAAGCCAGTGTAGAGAGTGCTACAGGCTTGGTGCTTTCCTGACCAGGTGGTGAGAACTTGAAGAAAATGGATTGATGTGCTGCTGGCAACTGAGCCCTGGGCTTCCTTGCTTCTACAAAAATTCCACCATCCCTCGCTCCTATGGCACAGAAGTAGAGAACTAAAAGACCCAATGGATTGAGAAGTCACAGTGGCCTCATAGCCGTCCTCTTGAGAACTGTGAGAGGGAACAGCTTCCTTCATATTCAACATGCAGGGCAGCCTCTTGGTCTTGGTGCAGTGTTAGGAAGGGAGGGAGTCCAGTTGTGATGACGACAGATTCCCCACCGACCCAGAGGAGGCATCACATTTACATAAAAATAAGCGCTATCTCCCTTATCTCTGGCTCTGTAATCTGAGATCTCTTTCCAAGGCACCGCCTTCACGGAGACACCCAACTACTCAGCATTGACAGGGAAGTTTCTAAGGTTTAACGACTAAAACTGGTGTGTATGTTGGATATAGCCCCCAATGCTACATTGCCTTAAAGTTAAGATATAATCAGAAGTGATATTTATGTATAAATATGCATATATAATTATGTGGGGTTATCTTTTTAAAGGACAAGACAATCCCAGTCTTATATGAAGGTTTGCATCTTTGCAGGCAAGTTGAGGGAAAACAGCTTTAATGGACTAGACCTTTTCCTTGGGGTTAATGTGGATGCCAATCAAAAGCAAAAATAAATTTGTAGGAATTGTAAGTTCCTACATATGTGTCTCTATAAGGATATTATATGACCCAGAGGAACCCGTGAAAGAAGATACATTTTTGTGTATATCCCTTTAAGAAGAGAAGCTCATCTGATCATGGCATCTTATTGGAGAAGGTAGTGGCATATCTTTCTACATTTACTAAATTTTAAATTAGTCCTGAGCAGAAATTCAAGGATAAGGCTCATCGGACTTGTGTGTATTGGGTATTTTCTCTTCCAAAAAATTAACACAGATGTGCCCATCTTTAATTTTCTAAATATCATCTGAAATGTTTTTCATTGAGTCATATTCTTAAAGAAAGAACATTACTAGCCATAGGGAACTGAAGACACAGGCACAAGCAGCTAATACACCTTTGAAGCAACATTTTCTCTACTGTGTATTTCAAAAGTGAATATAAGAAAGCAAATATTTAAAGAGGCTATTTCATGAGTTTTGAAAAAATAATATCATGACAGTTTTTCTGTTTTAACCAGAATTAAGTGAAATATCTGTATTATGTACTGATATTTATTTAACCTATCTAATTTTATTTCAGGGGATCATAATTTATTTCTTATTATTTGTAGTTAATGCTACCATTTCAAATAGTATTTTAGAGTAGTTTGGCATTTCCAGATTCCTCCAGGTAATGTATTATCCATATATGGAAAAAATGTACAAGGAGTTTATAGTTCCTCCAAAATAATTCTTTTCTTCTGGCATCCACATTAATCCCAAGGAAAGGATCTGGTTCACTAAAGTTGTTTGTCCCCAAGTTTTGACATTTTACAGTTAGCAGAGTTTTGCAAATTGATGGGTATTCAGAACACTTTTTCAAGAGATGGAACATCTATATTGCTTACTACATATAAAGAGCTAAATTTGTATTTGTTGAAGAAAGAAATCAATGAAACATCTATCAATCACAGATTCACAGAGTTGAAAGTGGCCATAGAGAACATTCTGTTCACCCTTTTGCTGGAAGGTTGAAATACCTTCTAAAGGTTCTCATCGTTGGCCATGGAGCCTGAATGTAGAGATAGAATCCTTTATTTCATCTTTCAATTGAACATGAAAGAAAAAAACATATTATTTCTCAACTCAGTCATTTATTCTCTTATTTCTTAGATGTATTCTGCTTAAAAAGTAGGGCAGAAAACAACAGAAAGGACAACAAAAAATCTTGACAAATAAGCATTGTTAGTCCAAGAAAGAGCATTGCTCTCACTCATGAGTGGGAGCTGAACGATGAGAACACATGGACACATTGAGGGGACAACACACACTGGGGCCTGTGGGGGGCTGGAGGGAGGGAGAGCATCAAGAAGAACAGCTGATGGGTGCTGGGCTGAATACCTGAGTGATGGGTTGATCCATGCAGCAGACCACCCCGGCTTACATTTAACTAGGTAACAAACCTGCACATCCGGCACGTGTACCCCGGAACTCAAAATAAAAGTTGATTTAAAAAAAAAAAAAGAACATTGCATAGTAATATAAAATACATGTGCATGTGAGCACGAGAGCATGCCCATTACTTTAAACCCATAGTTTACACTCACAACATTCTCAAACAGATGGTGTTTCTGCAGTACCTGTGTTTGTAGAGGTAAAATGCAAACCCTGATAAAATTAGAGCAAAGAAAGGAACCAGAATGGCAGCCGCCACAGAGCCACTGCTGGTGCCGTGGTAATGACTGGAAGAGTCTTGATCTGGGTTTAAAGGATCTGTAAGATAAAGGAAATATTAAATTTGTTGTTACTGTACTCTGCTTAAACAAATACATATGATAAATTTTGTAAATGGATACGAACTCTTCAAGAAGCAGACGGAGTTGCCATTTCACAGGAAACCAAATGATATTCTTTTCTAAAGATTTTTAATATCCACTTAATGACCGGGACAAAAAACTGACTATTTCCTACTAATAATGGAGAATACTATGAAAGAGTCTCAACATTTAAAATGTGAGAAAGGCAAAAGGGTCAGTATACATCCTGACTTTCGTTTATAGTTATAGGTGTTTTCACAAAACTAACTGAAAACATTTATGTATTTTTTCTATATTCAGAGGTCAATAATATTTGCTGTTTTTTCAGGTCTTAAGGCCAGACTCGGCAAAATATGTCATTGAAATTATGTAAATATCCCAGTTATCCATAAAAATGGCATTGCATTCTTCATATGTGAATAGGATGGTGTCATCTGTCTTTATTTTACGTACATTCTGAAATTCACAGAAGAGTTTAGAAATACTCAAAAATAATTATAGTTCAATGTCACAATGCAAGTTTCCATGAAGACACAAAATAATGCTAAAATGTAACTTTTTAAATTAAATAATTAATTTTTCTTTTTTTTTTTTTCTGAGACAGAGTCTCACCCTGTTGCCCAGGCTGGAGTGCAGTGGAGTGATCTCAGCTCATTGCAACCTCTGTCTCCCAGGTTCTAGTGATTCTCCTGCCTCAGCCTCCCAAGTAGCTGGGATGACAGGTGCCTGCCGCCATGCCTGGCTATTTTTTGTATTTTTACTAGAGATGGGGTTTCACCATGTTGGCCAGGCTAGTCTTGAACTCCTGACTTCAAATGATCCACCTGCCTCGGCCTCGAAAAGTGCTGGAATTACAGGCTTAAGCCACCACACCTGACCTAAAATATACCTTTTGTCCATTAGAAAGGAAGGCAAATGTGAATACTTCAAGTATCATGAAGGTGATAGAATCAGCCAGGACTATGGAGTGTCTCATGGCATGGCACTGAGAGGAAAGCAATAAAAACTCAAATCCACAGACCTTTATTAAGCAACTGTTGCCAAAGGAGGAAGTAAGTTTTTGAAGAGTGTACTAATAAAATATAATTTTGAGATGGATTTGGCCTAATTGCATGGAGTCACTTAATGCAGGTGTGCAATGAATCATGATTGGCGTCATCTCAATATAGCAGAATTGTTGAGAAGAAGCTCATCTGGTTTTCTTATTTCCAGAATTTATAAAATGTCAGATTCAAAGAGATGTTGCTGTATTTATTGTTTTATAAACCAGAAATGCAAAAAATCAATCAAATATTAAAAATCTTTAAATCATTATTTGTATCAACACCCTTTAATTTTCATATAAAAACTTTCAAATGACATTATTTGCCATTTGCTTCAATAGATGTAGGATTATGACTGCCTACAATATTAACGTCCAATAGGAACATATTTTGGAGCAATGTTGGCTTTTTACAACTACTTATCTTTTTGAGATCTGCCCCACCATCACGCAAAAGGAAGATGCCAGACACTTGCTCTCTTGCAATCTGAGCACCCAGGTTATGGACGTGCAGCGAGTGAAGCCAATTGGGTGTTCCCACCCCAGGCACTGTATTGGAAGCGAGGGACGCAAAACATTCTGAGATGGTTTAAAATTTGTTCCATGGCTGAAGGGGTTCTAGAGCCCTGGGGACAACATGAAGTGTGTGTGTATGTGTGCACTGAGGGTGGTCCCAGCAGCAGCAGTGGTGCAGCAGTGATGTCCAGTGACAAGGGGTGGTGCTGTCCAACAGAGAGCAGTGGTGCCCTACTCAGATGGCACCAACTTCATGGGTTGGTTGTGAAAATCATATGTTAGTACATCTCAAGTGCTTACAACAATGCCTGGCACAGAGGGAATGTTCACACGGACTCATAGTCACAAAAATGTAACTTTCCTGAAGCCAGGGATTTTGTTTTGTTTTGTTTGGTTTCGTTTGGTTTGGGTAGCTTTCCTCTTGACTCCTCAGAACCTGCAATAAAACCTAGAACACAGTATGTGCTCAATATATATTTGCAAAATTAAAAAAAAAAGTTTTGTCTGTATAGCATTTCAGCACCCAAATATCTTTTAGTTTCCATTACGATGCCAAACATTGATCTTCAAGTTTCTGTAATTCTGGGATTATCTGTCTTATTCTTATAAATGTGTATTCTACTTACATTAACCACAGTTACTTTTTTTAATCTGAAAACAAAGCTACATACTTTTATCCATAATAGATAACAAAATTCCAAATAATAAAATGCTGGAAAATCTACGTGTCACAAGACACCTCACATGAAAACAAAGAACAACACGTAAGAAGGTGTTTGTGAATTACATAACCAAACTTACCGTGAGATTATCACATGCCTGCAGCTCCTAGTTAATTTCAGTTACTTGCCTTGTTTTAATAATTTGAAGGTTAATATACACACATTGTGTTAATTAAAATGGCATAAAGGGATATGAAAACAAATAATATAAAGGAAAATTAAAATAATCATTCCTTGCCCTACAAGGTAGTTCCTCTTTATAGTTGAGGGTTTTAAAAATTGTCCTTCCAACAATGTACTCGTAATATGTGTGATTATTTCTCTTTTCTTATTTTTATAATTGGTAATATTATTTGCATTTTGCTTATGTGGCTTTTAACCTTAACAGTCTATTTATGAGGCTCTTCCATTGGCATATATGAATCAGATTTAATTTTTTAAGGTGTGTAGTATTCTACTGATTAGATATAACAGCATTTATTTAGCCAGTCTACTGTCCAGGGACATTAAGGGTGTTTCTAATACTTCTATAATGTTGCAATGAAATCTTTTGCCTATATCTACACATTAGCAGGAGTCGACATTACATAAGACAAATCTTAAGAAGTAGAATTATTGAGAAACAGAATTTGTACCTTTTAGTGTTGCTACATCCTACCTAATTGCTCTCTAAAGAGGCACTGCAATTTCATTCAATCATTATCGTACGAGGGTCTTCACAATAACACATGGACAGCTCTGTGCGATCCCTCTGCTACCCTCCGTTCCCTTCTCTTCCCCCTCCTTGTTTTCCCCTGTCCCTCCTCCTCTCTCATTGCCCTCCTTCCACACGTTATTATTGGTTCCTTGGCTGTTGCAACCACAACTGTTGCTGCCACTACTACAATGATAAATCAAACAGTGTTTAGGTAGTTATAAATTTACATTTCTTTACTGAAGGAGGGTGAGCATCTTTGCACATGTGATAAGCTAGGTCATTCAATTTTCTAAAGAGCATTATTGAAACAAATGCACATCCTGTCACGCAACACTTCATGTTGGGGATACATTCTGAGAAATGCTTCGTGAGGCAATTTTGCGGCTGTGTGAGCATCAGAGTGCACTCACACACCTAGACGGTGTTGCCTACTGCATATCTAGGCTATAGGTACAGCCAGTGGCTCCTACATGAGTAACACCGTGCACTATGACATTATGGCAGCTGTGGTGTCACCAGGTGTTAGGAATTTGTCAGCTTCTTTATAATCTTATGGGGTCACTGGTGCATATGCGATCTTTTGTTGACCAAAATGTCATTATGCGATGCGTGACTGTCCTATATAATTCATCCACTTAAGCTGAACACACAATCCAAGGCTTTCTCAGTGTTTTCATAGGGTGGTGCAATCACCACCGTAGTCTCACTTAGAAGATTGGTGTCCCTCCAAAAGAATCTCAGTATCTCTTAGCTTTATTCTTCCTCTACCTTCATCCCAACCTTCAACCCAGGCAACCACTAATCAGTGTCCCATCTCTTTGGATTTGCCTGTTATGGACATCTCCTGTAATGGATTCATAGACTATTTGGCCTTTTTTTATCTGGCTTCCTTCACTTGGCATGACGTTTTCAAGGTCCATCCTTGTTGTAGGATTCTTCAATACTTTATTCTTCTTCAGTGCTGACTAATATTCCATTGTATGGCTATATTACATATTGTTTATTCATTCATCCATTGATAGACATTTTGGTTGTATCTACATTTGGGTTATTATAAATAATGCTGCTCTAAGCATTCATGTACAAGTTTTGTGTGACATATTTTTCAGTTCTTTTGGCTACCCATGTAGGAATGGAATTGCTGGAGCTTAAGTAACAACTGTTTGATGAACTACCAGAGTGTTTTCCAGAGCAGCTGCATCATTTCACATTTCCCCAGCAAAGTAGGACAGTTCCAGTTCCTCCGCCTCCTTGCCACCCTTTGCGATTTGACTTTTAGATCACAGCCATCCTTGTGGACATGAAGGGGTATCCCAGTGTGGTTTTGATTTGCATTTCCCTGATAATGATTATAATCAACATCTTTTCATGGGCTTATCGCCATTTGCATGTCTTTAGAGACATATCTATTCAAATCTTTGGTCAATTTCTTATTTAGGTTATTTGCCTCTGTATTATTGAGCCATAAGAGTTCTTCGTACATTCTGGATACAAGTCACTTATCAGGTACATAATTTTATGTATTTTCTCTCATTCTTTGTGTGTATGTTAGGGTTGAGTCATTCAATCCTAATGAGGAAACCAGTTTATTGTTGAGTTTCTTACGCAAGTTTTTGCATTAAATTTGTCTTTCAAATTAATTTTATTTTAGTATCCACTTAATGACAATCACGTTTTTTGGTTTATCTACTGACTAGAGAAAATTAGGAGGTTATTTTTATCCATAAAAATAGATGCTTGCCATCATTCTTAAATGAATGGTTGCTGTTGCAGAATTACGTAAACACAAACTTTTCTAATTAGTTGAAGGGGGGACTTACTTATGACTCAAATTATTTTGTAAAGTAAACTGTTTTTCCTGACAACAAGCTCATCATCACATGAGAATAAAAATCCCTTGTTAAACCAAGCTGTTATTTTGTTAGATTAAAAAGAAAAGGGGTAATGCAAAGAAAACGTGTAATAGCAAACTGATAGTTCAGGTCAAATTCATTGGATCAGTCAACTTAGACATCTACACAGCATCCTGTACAGCTCACTGGGGTGTCCTTCAACAAAATTACTAGAGCGTGTGCTACAGAGAGAAAGGAGGACAAATAACTCCAGGATTCGGCTTAGAGCAAGAGAAAAAACATCACCCATCATTAGTGTTGGTCTAATGCATTTATTCCATTTCATTACCTCAAAATAATATAACCCAATTTAACATATAATCTCAGCCACTGCCAACATTATAATGTTCTTCTATTTAATAATACTGTGGGTTGAATAGTGGAAGTAAAGTATTTTATGATTAATTATCCTTTTTTTTTTTTTGGCTTTTCTACAGGCCAGTAGACTTTTTTTATATTCAGCACTTTGATAAAAGTCTTACAAAATAAGTTCATCAGTGGTAATCATTACAAAATTGTACACTCACATTCCTCCAAAAGGTGGCTCTGGTATCAAAGCCTATATGGTAATATTCTTCTTTATAGTAATACTGTGTGAATAGTATTCTACAAGTAGGAGAAATATGGTGCCAAGGTTGTTACAAAAATGCGTTTCCTTTTATTTGTGGGTTGCAACAATTATAACGACTTTTGTGCAAAAAGAGCTGTAGCATGCACAAAGCAATGCTTACGTGGCCTCTCAATCTCGTAACAACCTTGGGAACTTCTATACTGAGATTTAAGATGAAGAAATAGGCTCAAGAATATTGTGACCCATCCTAGATGACAAAAATAGGAAGCAGACGAGGTAGCATTCAGATCTGATGATTGTTTCCACATATGTTCCTCCTTTAATCACTAAGGCAAAAATCAAATAGTACAGAAAGCTATAAAGAAGGAAGGAGGACTTACCTGTCTATGTAGAATAAGCTTTTTCTCATTTATAAGTCAAACCTCTTTCCACATCAATATATAGTCCTCATTTCTTTAAATAAATATACTGAATAATAATTGTTTCATAGGTAGTATAATTTGTTACATAAAAATACTCATTGAAGCAATTCTTTCAGCATAGATGGGCAACATGCGGAGGTTATTTCTAAGTTCCACTACTAAAACAATCCTGCTTTGGACACGCCTGAATATGCAGAAAACAATTTACACATTTGCCTGATTAAAAATTCTAGACAGAAAATTGTTGGATGAACAAAGTACTGACCAATTGTATCTACCCATACATCCATCAAAATTAAACATGAGCATCTTTTCCTGCTATCAACCCCAAACCAATTATTAAAACTTTGTCATTCTGATAACTAAAAATAATCATCTTTGTTACTATATAAATATATATATGTATATTTCTGAAGATCTTTTTATATGTTTGTTGGCCACTTTTAATTACTCTTACTTTTTTTTTTTACTTTTAAGAACTCTTAGTTTTCTTTGGGTAATATACTTTGCTTATACTTTGATTTTCATCTTTTTCTCTCTTATTTTTAATAGCTCTTGATATAGTGAAGATATGATGTCTGGCACATTTATTGCATTATTTCCGGCTTTGTGTTTGTGTATTTTGCTATTCAAAATAATTTTTTTTCATTCAGCTGTAAAATATGTTAGTCTCTCTCATTATTTTTGTTTAGGTTTCTTTTAGAGTCGTCTTTTCCATTTCTTCTTAGAAACATCATTGGAAAGCCAAACTGATATTTGCTTTAAAATATATCCTAAGTGCAACTTACCTTGCCTTTCTAGCTTAAATTTTCCAAAGTCTTTTCCATGAATGTCACCTTGAAAAGTAAATCCTCCTCTTTCAAGTCCAGATGACACCTGACACATAGGAAAGAAAAGAAAAGAAATAAAAAGGTATACGAAGGGATGAATAATATCCTCTTTTAATATATCTTTTAATACAACTGTTATATCTCATATTTAGATACTACTGGTTAAATGTTTTATTTTTGCCATGGCTTTTGGTGACACATTTATAGTTAAAGATCAGAAACCAACACAGAAGTGAACTTTAACTAACATATGCAAATGCTCACAATCTCATTTTGATCTCGAAAATGATAGCAAATTTTACAATATATCCATATGTTAACTGCACTTTCTAAGGGAACACAAACGTATGAATTAAGAAATAATCTACATTATGTAAAACTCACTTTGTGTCCCAGCTATTGGGCAGGGTACATCATGTATGGCTGTCTACCCTTAAGTCAGATAGTAAATTAGAACACGAACAAATGGTTAACTTGCAAAGAACGGTGTTAAGGGGGATGTCTTAAATCTTTCTATTTATCTGGGAATGATTTCTTTTAGAACGAGCAGCGTGGTTATCAAGCGGTCTTGGAAAATTTCTGATGGCACCACTCACGATATAACGTAGCAGTAACATCATAGACCCTGGATTTCAGGTCTTGTTCTGTCCTCAACAGTAACCACCCCTTTAAGGATGGCCAGTTCATTGCTTACTTCTTAGACCTGGTTTCTTCCCTTATAAAATGAAGGAATAAAATGGCCACTCTGTCAAGAAGAGGGGCAGCTGAGTTTTCAAGGGGCAGACACAAGACAGCTCTACTCAGAAGCCTCCAATCCGTAGCCCTTGCATCTGCACAGAGAGATGATTAGAAAGCCTGTGCTTTGTCACAGACCTTACACATGTACTTACATAACCATCTAGTCCCCAGTTGTCATTTTCGAACTTGCTTACAAAAATATCTGCCTGGCCTTTAATTTGAAAAGCTTTCAGGAGTAAGTGGGCCTCCTCCTTCTTGTAAATGCCTGTGAAAAGATCAGCAGTTTAGGCTTACCTTGGAGAAAGTTAGTAATTCAGCCCTTTAATCCATTTGATGTGGAATGTGGTACGGAGATGATAATATCATCGATAATAGAAAACTCAAACAGAAATTGTATTTTTATTTGTGAATTTTAGCTTAGGAGCTTCCATTTTCCCCTGAAAATCACTTCTTAAATCCTTGTCTATCTTGAATAGGTATAATCCACTCCACTAAGTTCAATATCCTTATTCCACAGAAAGAATAAAAAATAACATATTTGATTTTGCTAATTAAAAAATCTCTCTCTAAAAAAGTATACAGTAAAAATACATCACAGAATTAATGTAAGAATGAAAATGATAATACACATACAGTGCTTAAAATAGTGTTTGCCATATAAATCGAGGCTGTTTTATTTTATTAATTGTGTGATGATTTTAAAAATCTCATGAAGAGCACATGAGTTAAGAAAAAGTATTAAGAAATAAAGTTTGGAGACATGCAGTATCTGTATACGAATCTCAGATTCTTGACTTAATATGTGCATAATTTTGAGCAAATCAGTTCACTTTTCTGTACTCGTTTTGTAATCTCTAAAATAAGAAAATAATACCAACCTCTCACGGCTAGGGAGAGGCTCCAATGAGTTACAGTATATACAAAGCCAACAGAACAGTAATAAGTACTTAATACTTACTAGATCACCTCTCTGTGAAAAGATAACAGGTCTATTTCTGCTCACACCATGCGTTTAGTGAATTCTTCGGGACCTACCTGTCAACTTCAGCTCCACTGGCGAGGCTTCGCTGAAGGTGGCATTCACCTTACTGCTTGTTGCATTGAACCAGTCAACAGTTAGAGTGGCGGGTTGTCTTTTCCCTAAATATTCATAATACCCCTTCCACAGTGAATTGACGAAAAAGACATCTGAAGGAACTGTGGGAAGGGGGGAAACAGACCAATGTCAGCACACACACAAACAATAAATTCAGACATTATTAAACACAGAAGGCATCATACTGCTTAGCGAGCGATCACAGATGAGGGCAGTGATGAAGACAAGAGGAGCCTAGTGCATCGCTGTTCACAGCACGTGCAAAACTCAAAAGAAGCAGGTGCGAAGATTATTATGGTATGCAAGTAGACACTTGTGCTTATGGGTTTCTTTTATTATTATTAGAAGCCAAAGCATACCTACTTTAACAGCCCTTCCAAGCTCATGGGCTATGGTGAACTGGTACTTCTAATGCTAGTTTAGTTTTTATTGTGCTTAGCAAGAAATATGTTTACCTGACCCATGAAATCACTACTGATATTTCAATGATATCCAAGTCTACTCTTTGAAAGACTTGGAAGGCTCCAAAGAACTGATATATATAATACGAGAGCAATGCCCTGTCTCGAAAAAGCTTACATATCCCAGCACCAAGTGGACTTATGAAGACAAAGCCCTTTCACTTCAGAGTCTTTATTTTGTAAGTAGAGTCCCTCTCTGTCATTCATACTCTTCTGTTCTTCTTTAATCTCTTTATGTAATATATTCCATGAGTAAGAAGAGATGGGCTCAATAATTTCAAATGTTTCTTTTATACATGTCTTTTAAATTCAGTAATGAAAGGCAGTCTTTTTAAAGCACAGAATCCATCGACAGGAAAACTTAACAAAGATTATTGAGATATTTCTTCTTGTTTTCACGGCTTAAGAAAAAAATAAACTTATTTTTCATGTGTCTGTTTAAAAATGTGTATAAAATCCTGCCATTTTCACACATAAACGTGAATTGTAGTGTATAAATTCACATGATGATTTCAGCATTACTCTTTGTTTTCTGCCTTCTGATGTGCATGAATTATTTAATTAGATAAGATTCATGATAAGCATAATTGGTCAAAACACATTGCTTGAGTTGCTAGGTGGAAATGAAGATTCATGTCTCCCTAACCCATTTTTTAAAAAGTCCATTTATAGTCGCAAATAATGAGGACAAAAGTATATTGTTCCTATACCCATGCTTTTCTTTCCAGCCCAACTGGCCATTTTCTTGTTTTCCTAGGCAGGCTGAACCTATAAAACTTGGCCTAGCAAGAGAAGGGTTAAAGAGGAACAGAAGATAATAGCTTCCTTTGGCCTTTTGTAGACCCCACTTTCTCATAATAATAGTGATAATAAAATAAGTAAAAAACTCATATATCCACACAAGTATCTAACACATTTGCTTATAAATCACTGATTTTAGACACATCTGCTTAGCCACTGTCAGCACAACAGAGGCCCCCATTTTAATCAGCAACCTCAAAATAACTTTATTTTCCATTACTAAAATTAATAGCCTTTAAAGTACATAAAAAATATCTTCCCTAATTAGAATTTATATGCTCTTCTGAAGTTACTAATCCACTTGTTCAAGCATTCACTTAAGTTAATCTTGTTGAAGTTTCACAGGAATGGGCCAGGCCTGGCTGGGTAGGGTAAGATACAACCAATGTCTTAGAAGTGGCTTCTGTGTATTAAAATAGGACCACGAGTCATGTGGCAGAGGTCATCTTTCTGGGTCTTTATAATTTCACTTGTTGCTGGCAGCCCGCAGTACAATGCAGCAGCCACATAGCTGAGCTGTACTAGAATGTACCACCATGATGAGGAATCACATTCAATTAGCACTTGCTTTCCAAGAGTACAAGAAAAGGAATATTGATAATAATGTTTGCACCTACAAAAGGAGTGTATAGATATTTCAATATCTTAAACACAAAATAAGCAAATAAAAAACAAAACACACACACAACAATAATAACAAAAAGAGGCTGTGTTTTGTTCCATTGAAGAACATGTTGCCTGGATAAAGAGCACTGACTTCTGTATGTGATTTTTAGGTAATATTTAAATAAAATAGTCTAGAAAGCTTTAAAAAGCATTTTATATTCTTTATTATTCAGATTGGAGAAATTCCTTTCATCATATTGGCACATTTTTCCTTGTCTAAGAATTAAATGTGTCACACAGCATCCTGACAATATTTTTCCTTGTCTAAGAATTAAATGTGTCACACAGTATCCTGACAATAGCAATACAAATACTCTTTCCATGTTTGATTCTAAAATAGAGCTTATGTCCAAAAAAAAAAAAAAACAGTGTTAAAACCTGAATAAAGAAAGTACTAGTCAAGTGATCTTATATATTTACAAAGGATTTCTGTTTCTGATAAAACAACAACAAAATACCCAACTTAAATTAATATAATTTGGGATACATTTTGTTATTTAAAAATAATTTAAATTTAAAACACAGAACATGCCAGATGATTTTGTATAGTAAAAACTTTCCTTGGGAAATAGGACTGCATCTTTGCGATTTGCTATATAATGCTTTTAGCAAAAGGTGCCACATACAACAAAAAACTATAATTAACATTTTAGAAGGCAAAGCATGCCTAGATGAATGGAGACACTTGGAAAAAAATTGGGCTCCATGTCTGAACTGTTTACATTAACAACTTATGCTGTGAAAATGCCTCATTGATATGAGCTTCCTCATTTGGAGGAAAAAAGTCGCAACCCTCTTTATAAGGCTCTCCATTATACCACATGGAACGACCAATGTTTTCATTTCTGCCTACCAAATGCCGAAGGCAAGTTTGAATGAAACAGGGTGTGATAACACCAAAGGTTTTCTTTTTAAGGGAAGTAATGTTATTTCATTAACAAACCATTGTTGTGAAATAAACAGAATTCCATGTAAGCTTGGTGTTTTAAATAATTGAAACATTAACTTGGTCGTGGACTAACGGATTCAGAAATTTAAATGTTGAAAATAGTTTCACTGTGCAGAGTAGAGAACAAATCACTTTATTGGATTGAAATCTAGAACTGTTCTGGTATACAAACCTGGAGTTTTAGTAACTGTTTCATTAACTTCTCTCACTCCTTTACCTACAAGTAAAAAGACAAATTATCATTTTAAAAAAAACATTTATTTTTGAGTAAGTTTGAAAAAATGTCAAATTGAAGCAATTTTCCTTTCTCCAGATTTTTTTAATGTACAAAATATGAATACCTTATACATATACATTTTAAACTCATGTCTTTACAGCAGAATATTCTTGGTGTTTGTGGGAAAGCGGAGTTTAAGGATGAAAAATCAATGTACATCTATCTACGTATATTTCCATTTAAAGTGCTACAACAGAGAGCCTTGCAAAGGAGGGTGCCTTCTATGACATTTCTTGTATCCTGTTTGGAATACCCTGCCACATACTAAAAGGTAACACCCCACCCAAATAACCATGATGTTACAGTCCCTCTTCATTGACCAATACCCCACCCAAATCAATCAATTTATACGTTACTACTGAAAAATTCAAAATTATTTCCATTGCAGAATGTTCATTTTGGTCTATCAAGTTAGATTTACGTCATAATTTCTTAGCTTTCACAGTTTTAGATCAAACTACGAATTACCATTTTAAAAGTTTTCATTCTTCTATTTCTAACAGGGAAGGGCAAGGGAAACAAAAGTCTCTTTAAAATCCCTAATATGAGAACTATAAATAGGCTCCAGGAAACAAAACCTAAAGTCACTGACTGTCTCACACGCCATCATTTTTGGTTTATGCTGTTTAGACTCCATGGATTTATAAATTACAAACAGGGGAGAACCTGTAAGTGTAGCTATCGTCAAATCTGACCCAGGCTGATGACTCTCACTTGTAAACACACAAATTTGTAATTAATGGATCGTTTCCATGTGAATTGCTTTTGTAATTTTAAAAAGCAGAATCAATGTCAGGGACACATAAACTGAGGTTTTACCACAAACAGCATGTGGTCTTAAAAATAAGACAGAGTTTCATTTACCTATTCTCGGATACTTGGTGACCTTTATTCATTTTCATCTCTAAGAACTACTTTTCCTGAAACTATACCAAGTATTATTTTCCTTTTAACTCAGAATGCTTTTCTTTAACCAAATAGCTTTTCTCTTTTGGCTTGAAATAATGCAATCATTTTATTATGTACTAATTGCATACTAATTGTACTATATATTTAGCTATGCCACCATTGCATCAAACACTGAGGATACACACGTTCACACACACAGCTCACGCACATGAAGCACGACTGAGGCAGGTGGCGATGCTGCAGCCTCATGCTCTTACTTATGGGTCTCACACGTGGACACTAGCCTGATGGGCAGCTGATCCTTTCCCTTGCTCTTTGGAAAAGTATGCCACTCCTTGATCAATGACTTACTTTTACACACAGGCGACTTTCCTGTCCATTTCATGTCTGCTTTACATGTTCTGTGCTCAGATCCCCCTGCGAGGAAAAAGCCTGGATGGCAGGTGTACACTAAGGTGTAGCCGAAAGTAGGAAGATCGATGGCTCTCACATCCGCGTGTGCCGGGGTTTCTGGCTGTCTGCAGGCATGAGCTGAAACAACATTAGGAAACATTGAGACTTTGTTTATTGTAAAGTTAGCACATGTGTCTAGAGAAATTAATAGATTAAAATAGTTTGGAAATGGTTATGCAGTCAATATGTATATATACATATATATACACATATATATGTATATTTTTTTTGGTAGAGATGAAGTCTTGCTATGTTGTCCAGTCTGTGCTAGAACTCCTGACCTCAAGCTATTCTCCTGTTTTGACCTCCCAAAGTACTGGGATTACAGGCATGAGCCACTACACCCATCCTATATATATTTATACATAGGTAATTATGTGCAAAGATTTAGAGATCACAGCTTTGAAATAAAAACACTTCTGCTATACTACCGAAATAAATATGTTAAAGATCCTTAAAAGCCCAGTCTTATAAATTATAGAGACTGGTGAATATTTAGATATGCCTTGATTTTGTTCTTGTGGAAACTACCAAATTTATTACTCAATTTAATTAATTATTTTGATAAAACTTTAATGTGTATTTAGAAACTTAATATAGATTCTTATTTTCTTTGAAATATAATTTAGGAATAAATGAGACTGTGATGTATACTCTATATCTCAAATCACTCCATTCCTTATAAAGTTTGCATACATGCTGCAAATAAAGGATTGACATATTATTATAAAACAAGTTTACAATTTTATTTATTTATTTTTATTTATTTATTTTTTATTTATTTTTTGAGTCTCGCTGTGTTGCCCAGGCTGGAATGCAGTGGCACGATCTCCGCTCGCTGCAAGCTCCTCCTCCTGGGTTCACGCCATTCTCCTGACTCAGCCTCCCCAGTAGCTGGGACTACAGGCACCCGCCACCATGCCCGGCTAATTTTTTGTAGTTTTTTTAGTAGAGATGGGATTTCACCATGTTAGCCAGGATGGTCTCGATCTCCTGACCTCGTGATCCACCTGCCTCGGCCTCCCAAAATGCTGGGATTATAGGCATGAGCCAGCATGCCCAGCCAAGTTTACAATTCTAAAATTGTGCATGCAGTTGTTTTGAATGTTGTCACTATTTCACTAATTAGTAACCACAACAAATACCTGATATTATCAAGCTCCATATTATATATAAACATGCATATATATATGTGTATGTATATACATATATATGTACATGTACTATCAACATATAATTTGAGTAATGATTTAGAGCAGAGATAATTTTAAAATAAATACACCCAAAAATCACACCTTATATACTGAGATTTTTATAACATTCTATTAATGTTTTTATTTTTAATACAGTAAGAATAAGACACCGCATTTCACTAAATTCAGAGTGAGTGAAATGAATAATTCACATACTACTCATCCATATATTTTTTCTAATTCTCATGATTAAGTCACAAAATAAAATGTGATCCTTAAGTATGTATTTGAATGATCAATTCATATATACTTCCTGTTATAGCAAGAATAATTTTTTAAACACTTCTACTTAGACTCTGACATATGACGTTATTCAGTTCATCCTCTCTTTGGTAATTTGATGTAAATATCCTAGGAGAATAATAGCACGTACAAATAAGTTTTCCCTCTAAGAATGTTCAATATAACATTATGCACTTATCTTCGGTTTCATGCAGTTTCTCAGACTTTACAGTGCCTGAGAATCTCCTGGAGCGCTTGTTAAACTAAACTGTCCCCCTTCTCTCCTCCCTGGCTCCCTCCAGAGGCTCTGGTTCAAGGTCAAGGATGGGGCTTGAGAGCAGCCTTCACAGCCCAATGTCCAGCCAATGGTTATGCTGCCAGTTCTAGGGAACCAAACTTTGAGGACATCCGAAAATTTAGGATTAGGGAATTAAAAACAATTTCTCATTATTTCCCTTAGTGGTAAACACGTCTCAGACATTCACAATAAATAGGTGACTTGTGATGGGGGTGGAAGAAATCACACTTACGTATACATTCGGTCTGTATCCCACTCCATGTTAAATTGGCAAGGCAGGTGCGAGTCGTGGAACCTTGAATATGGTAGCCTTTTCTGCACCTGAAAAAAACCGTGCTTCCAACCTAGAGAGGAAATCCAATACTAGCTTCAGAGGCCAAGGGAATATACGAAGTGTCAACTAGTGATACCTGAAAGTACACGCCCGAGTAAAAGTACAGCAGCAACTTTTCAGGTTAATGTCAAGCCACTGTCTAAGTCAACATGTACATTTTAACTGCCTGCTACAGTGTTACACACAATGTAGATTGCTCAATGAATAATGTAAGATCTTCTCGAATTTTGAAAATTTAGACGGCTGTTTGGGTAAAGAAATTATGCCTTTTCTGTTTTAGAGTTCTTTCTTTTTTGTTTGTAATAATTATTATTTCCTTTTTCATTTTTTTCCTGCCACTCACATTTGAAACAACTGGTATTTATTAGAAAATTACTTTTGTTAGCATTCCAAGGGGATTGGTCAACTCCTACTCATACAGAGTCCACCAAAACTCTACCTGTCTTTCTGATGCTTCAAACTGTACAAACTATTTACTGTTGTCTGAATGTCTGAGGCGTCTTCCTCACCAGGTCTTCACAAAGCTAACCCCCACTTAATTCTCTGTACTTTGCTTAAACTGCACATCCGCTGCAGATTCTTCTCTGATCCTCCAAGAATGAATCACATTCAGCTTGAATGCATTTCCCCAACGTATCTGCTCCACTCACCACAGTGTCCTGGAATTACCTGTATATTTATTCACCCATGTGTGTTCCTAATTTAACCAGAGGTGCCTTGAGGGGCAGATTCCTGTGATCTGTAAATGTCTTTTTTAGAGAATGAGCTATGGTCGTGTGTTGAGGGGCACCAAAGATCATCCATGGTTCTGTGTATCTGCAGCATGAGGCCAGCATGACTCATGTATACAGGGAGAGGAAAGCAGCCCCCAGGGAAGGCGGGTTTGCACTCATCCCAGCTTGGCTTGGGACCAGATTATTTCCTTAAAGCTTGACTTATGAAGGCACATAAGTGCACCAAGTTAGCATCCAAAGATTTGAATTCCCCTCTTGTTTCTTGCTCTGAGAATTTTAACCAGTTATTTAATTCCCTGTGTCTGCCTTCTCACAGGCATAAGCCCATACCTCCCATGTTGGGATTCCGGGAAGAATAACTACAAGTAAAATGCAAGGAAATAGTTGGTACACTGAATAGTGTGAAAGGATATCAGGAGAAAAAAAATGCTGCTTCTAGCACTTGATAAAGTGGAAGTATGAATTTATAAAGAAAAGTACAAATTTATCTAAATGTCAAATCAATAGCTAATTTAAGATTCAATGATGGGAAAGCGTTGACTCATTTACTCTTGATTGATTGATTGATTGACTGATCGATTTAAACTTTAGAGTCAGGGCCTCTCTCTATTGCCCAGAGTATACAGCACAGTGGTGCAATCATAGCTCATTGCATCCTTGACCTCCAGGGCTCAAGTAGCTCCCATCTCAGCCTTCTGCACAGCTGTGACAACAGGTGCACCTTACCATGCCCAGATGATTTTTTGTATTCTTTGTAGAAATAGGGTCTTGCTATGTTGCCCAGGCTGTTCTCCTGGCCTCAAGCGATTCTTCTGCCTGGGCCTCCCAAAGTGCTGGGATTACAGGCGTGAGCTGCTGCTCCCAGCCCACTTCCTCTCTATCAGGAACGGTGTCCATCAACTCTCCATGCAAGCATGTTTGCAATTCCAACCAGACCTCCTGGTAAACATGCTGACATTCTCAGGAAGGTCATGGATAACCTGTATCATTTACTGGCAGAAAGAAAATACAGTCTCCTTCTCAATAATTTTTTTTTTAGCAGAATATACCGAGCCACTGCAAACTGATTATCATACACTAACCCTGGAGCTACGGGTTTCGGGGACACGCTGGCTGGAGAACGGGAGGTAGTCATTTAAGCTGCAAGATTAACATAGCCTAACACAGGGACATTTCACACTGAAATGGCTCACTTTGTGTAAGTAAGGTTTCAGCATATGGTGCTAAAGAAAACAGACAAAAATCTCATTGGTTACTTTAAAAACTAAAATGTTCCTAATAAAGGAAGAAATAAAAACATTTGGGGAGAGCTGCATTTCATGGTCTCAACCTTCTCCTTAAAACATGGTGTCTGGGCTCTTTAAATTATTAGTAAATCTTGCTGTTGGATAAAATCAATTATTCGTGTTAGTGTAACTAATTTGTTATAAGGAGGGTGAAGGATTTATCCAACCCTATTAGTGTCATATGATAGGTTATAGAACTATGTTGCTAAATACAGTCATCATTGACTTTTAATTACTGTAAGTTGTACATAGGCAAGTTAAGAATTGCTCAAAGCAATGGTGATCAAAATTTTATTTTTCTTAGTGAATCAGTGAGAGCGACATCCATATATAGTATTTTCCAATATTCCTTGACAATTTGGCATTAAATATTTATATACCTGAAAGTATTTACTTGAAGTTTAAGGCAATATTTGAGACATAATAGAAAATGTGCTAGAGTCAGTATATTATTAGCTCCCTGTAAGGACTTCCCCTGTGGGATGCAAGAGAGCTACAAGGAAATGGCCACTCTGTGTCCGAGCGAGAACAATGGGAATATTTTCGTGCTCACGAGAGATGGGGAAAGTGGCTGAGGAAGAAGGTTTTTTATTCTTAATTGATGAGATCCCTATATAATTAACTTTTGTTTTCAAAGTCATCCAACCAGATAACAGTGAAGTTATGGGAGTACTTAAGATGGTTAAAACATTTTATTTCAAGCTTCATTACCTTCCACTTTTAGGTATTTCTCCAACGTTCACTGAAGTGTTAGTGTTCATTTTATTAAAAGTCAAATGAACGTTCCAAAATGATATTTAGTACGCTAATAATTCATAGAAATTTAAAGATCATACGGAGAACTAATTTCACAAGTAAGTTTAGACTAAGGGGCTTACATACATTTTCTCCTATTTTTATCTCTAGAATTTAATATTATTTCCCCACTATATCCAGTCCCTAAGTGGAACCTTTTATGGGTAGCTAATCAGTGACAAGTTACCCCAATCTGAGAACTGCCGTGAGAATTTAACAGACAAATAATAGAATCATGCATGATTTCAAATAGAAAATAATGTAATAGTTGCTATGTTAATTTCTATATGAAATTATGCATTATTCCATTATTATCTAGTAAGCAAGATATATATATATATATATATATATATACATATATTGATTTTGACAGTTAAAAACACATGTAGAAATCCCCTTTGAACGAATTTTATTCAGGTAAATATAACATGAATAAGGTATGATATAAAAAAGCACTCACATATGTTTAAGTAACAAATATATTTTATATTTCCAGAAAGAAAACATAGTAAATTCATAATGAACTACCTCATAGCCTCTGGAGCTATTCTGTATTCCAAAGTGTGGCGTACCAGGGTCTGGGCAGGTGTTATGAGCAGGATCTGAAATTTGTGATTTAAAAAGAAAAGAGGGCACCAGATATAGTTATTGTGAGAATTTTAACAGCTTTCACTAAAAGGTCTCATGAAATAGAGAAAATATTGTTTTGAGAAATGTGCAAGATGTTTTTCAGGAAAGTTAAAAATTAAATTGCTACTTTTATCTTCTCTTCAAGACATGTTTTTTAGATGTTAACTTTTAGACTTTAAGTAGTTCAGTATGTTCTTCTTATATAAGAATAAGTGCATTTTTTTTCCATTCTCTGGCTTTTTTTTCTATAGAAATATATTTGGTCAATGATATACTATCTTCAATAATGACCTATCACTATCTTTTTGCTTATTAGGATTCAATAATTGGCCATCTCATTTGGTTACCCATTACATTATTCTGAGTTTCTTTAATTAATTTTCCTCAACATTTCAAAATGAAAAATATATTTAATGCTTCATAATGGAACCACATGGAAAACCAAGAGTGACATTTTTCAAAAAACACAGGACTTGGGTAACCCAGTGGCACTTCAGCTCTCTTACTTGCTGCTCTACAGTTACCAGTAGAAAAACAAAACAGATAACTTCTTAAAACCTGTTATCTAGAGTGACTAACCTTCTAGGGGGAAGAAAAATATTTTTAGTGTAGAGATAGCTACTGTATAGCAATAGTTTAAATCAAATGACAGCAAATATTCTTCTAATTAGAAAAAATGCTTCAATGACAATATTTCTTTAATACTATATTTTCTAGGTGGATACTATTCAATTTCTTAGAAAATAATCAAGACTAAGTATTACTTTTTTACTAAAAATTAGTAGAACACCCATTATTCTGCTTAGTAAATCTCAATGAACAAAATTAACCCAGCGATAAAACTTGACTCTGCAGCAATAAAACAACAGCAAGACTGTCTCTCTGGGGAGGGCTGCTTTAGAGAATGTTCCTACCTGCACCTTTCCCCTAAACAATGCAATTGGCAGTTAAGGTAGACAGCGGAGAGAGCCACTGAGGTCAGAGAACAAAGTCTAGTAGCTACTTTAGCAGACTTCTGACTTATTTTGCATGATTTAAAAGAGGTGGCACATCAGTTTAGCTGATGAGTGCGCAATCCTACTCAGTGCAAAAATTATTACCTTGTACAGAAAACTGTCTATGGAAACACTTTCTATGTAATCACAAATGACCCAATTTCGGAATGAAGCGTCCTCATCTCCAAATACTCCCAGGTATCCCCAGAGCTGTATGATAATTATTACCAATGCAGGTGGGTTGTATGCCGCTCCACGTGCCGTCAGCTTGGCAGACTCTTCTGGAGGATCCCACGAGTATAAATGGAGATTTGCACTGGAAGAAGACTTCGGACTTATAGGTGAAACTTTTCCCACTAAGTCGCCCTTCTGCGGGGATGCCAGGGTCTCCGCAGAACACAGCTATGGAAGATAACCAGGAAGAAGTCAGCCTTCAACGTCCCTGGATCAGCTTCACCAATTGAGCTTGGTAACTAGTTTCTGTTAAATCTTTAGCTTTAACTATTAAACAAGAAAAACGCTAAAAGGAGGCCAGGCACGGTGGCTCACGCCTGTAATCCCAACACTTTGGGAGGCAGAGGCAGGCGGATCGCTTGAGCTCAGGAGTTCGAGACTAGCCTGGGCAACATGGCGAAACCTATGTCTACAACAAATACAAAAATTAGCTGGGTTTGGTGGCACACACCTGTAGTCCCAGCTACTCGGGAGGCTGAGGTGGGAGGATGGTTTGAGCCCGAGAGATTGAGGCTGCAGGGAGCTATGATTGAACCACTGCACTCCATCCTGGGCAACAGAGTGAGGACCTGTCTCAAAAAGGAGACTCTGCCCTTAGGCAACACAGTCTCAAGTTTGAGTTTTTGTGTATTTTAGGGCTATTATTACCCACCAGGAAGGTCCTCAGATTGTAACCTTAGGATGTGCCCTGGTTATCCGTCCCTGTTGCAGACCTGCAGTGGGCGGAACAAATTCTGCTGTAGAACTTACGGAGACACTGGGGGATCTCTCCTTTCCACACCCCGCGACCTTCACAGGAGAGGATGGCGGAGTGAGAGAGCTGGTAACCGTCCATGCAGCTGTAACTTATGCTGGAGCCCCAGCGGAAATCACTTCCCTCCACTGTTCCATTCTGCACCGGCGGCGGCTGAGGACACAGCACGGCTATTTCCAAAGAACAAACAAGATCAACATTCCGGAGCTCCCGCTGCAGCGGTGATGTTCAAACGATTCCCATTTTAATTTTACCTGAATTACAAATGACATCTACATAGGTTTTTAAAAAAAAATAATAAAAGAATTGCCAAGGAAGACAGTACATCAAAATAACAAAATATTTTTTAGAATATTTCTTCATTAATATCGATGAAGTCTATAAAAGCAAAGTCAAGTCAAAACATATAGGATTGAACATGACATTCCCAATATATACAAGGCCAAGAAAGGAAGAAACGTTCTTGCTTAATTTGTGTCTTTTTATGATGGTTACCAAAGACAATTCGAATGAGGATTTGGTCAGATGACACAAATTTATAGGCACAGATGGTAAGAATTTTTCTGGCCATCTGTATTTTTTATTTAAAGATGGCATATAGTTTCCAAAAGACACAGTCGGTCCATCTATTTACTGAATATATTTTTTTAGAAATGCCTGAATGGTTAAAGAAGATGCTGTGGAATACCATTTGCAAGTGTTTCATCACAGCCTTGGAGCCTGATGTCCACTTTATGGGGCTGAGAAGCAAGCACGTGGTTGCTAGGGAGGATTTCCCCGAGGGTGATGTCACGAGAGATCACCTTCCCCACTCTAGAAATTATACTAAAATGCACAAAGGGAGGCAAAAATCCAAAAACCACTGTCTAAAATCCTTCTTCTCTGAAGATACACAACTTCCCTAGTTTTTGAAATGAATGGAAGTTTCCAAGTGACCCTGTAGGTAGCAGAAGGCACTACAAAAGAACAACCGCTTGCATTTTGTGTGTTCAGGCTCATGCCTTCTCACGTGAGAAAGACATGCCAACACACACAAATCACATGTGCACACCCAAAAGTTGGAAATGGGTCCTTCCCTCACCACTCCACCTTCTACTGATCTGTTCACTCGTTCAACAAATCCTTCCTGAGACCCCACAGCGAGGGCTGGGGAAATGCGTGTTCTGGCCCAAGGGAATGTCCAGGGGGAGGCCCCAGTTGGAAGAGACCTGAGCTACATGGGTCCCCTGGGGGCAGGGGGAATGGGAGGAGACAAGTTCAAGGAGGGACAGAGAGAGAAAGAGGTCCCATCTGGTAGGGACTTGCTGGCCGTGGTGTTGTTACAAACACAATGGGTACTAGAAAGAGGATAAAAATCCACAGAATTATGCATGAAGCATATTTTATTGGCAATTTCCATCATGACCATTTGACCTGAATACTGCCGACACAACGTAGTGCATTTTCATTCAAATTCAACATTTATTTAGCGTCAGCTATATCACAGGTGCAGTATTAAGAGTTACAATACAAAGAAGGGAAGGCAATGAGATCCTTTGACTCTACTGGGAGACGAAAGCAGGATGGTCCAAGAACACGCCCATGTCAGAAGAGAGAGAAAGCCATATTTTTGAGCATTCAGGTCACATTTAAGCCTCTGCCACATTTAACCATGTGTCTTGCAGAACTCACCGAAGATGAAACCTTCTCCATAAGCTACTGAGTGTCCTAACTCTCCCTCCCTCAGTATTTTATTTGTTCCTAGTCTAATAAGGAGGAGAATGCCATCTTCTTATGTTTGGTCACTGACAGCTTTCAAGCCCCTCTCTCCCCCTCTTCTTGTCCTTCCTCTGCACCAGCTGATAAGAAAGTCTGGATAGTTCTTCTTTGCTTCTGGTAAATAAACTGTCACCACGCAAATCCCTGGCCCTTGCACAGCCGCCACTCAGCCCTGCTCCCTGTCACTGTAAGAGCCAAGCCCACTCACTCTGCTTTACTGAAGCCACCTTGATGAGTTGAGCCTGTCTTGATTTGCCCAGAGGGTCCAGTCACATAAGTCATAAACCTCTTCCTGCCTTCTCGGCCAGTGTCATCTTCAGTCTCGGCAACCAAACCCCATGAAACATCACGGTGCTAACACTCTCTACCAGTGCTCTGCCATTACTAGGTGATTGGCTCGTCTCTCCAACCTGCCTCTAAATTCCTACAATTAGATTCACCATGCCACGAACACCTCACACAGCTAGGGTCACAGGTTTACCCAGGACAGCAAAGCACTGGGGTTCAGACACAGACTCTAGGGTGGCGTGACCGTCACTGAACCCCGACATCTCCAGTTCCTGGTTTGTGATCCTAAGCCTTTTCCTCTACCTCGCTATGAGTTAGTTTTTCCATCTGTAAAACTGAGATTAAAGTATTATAAAAATAAAGTGACTTAATAGTTGCAAATTGCTGTTCAAGAATTCCTAGCCCCTAGAAGGGCTACATAAATGCTTGCAAAATTAAACAAAGCATAATTCAATAAAGACTTCTATACACATCTGTAAAATCCAAAGAGTCACCAAACAAACCTTTGCAGACAGGTTTGCTCGGATTCCACCTGCCGTCTTTGGTACAGCGAATAGTGGCGGATGTGACTGCTTCCATGACATAGCCTGGGTTACACTGATAGCTCACAGTCTTGTTGAAGGTGAAGTCGGTCCCAAACTGGATGCCATTTGCTAGTGTGCCTGGATCCCCACAACTTATAACTAATAAACAGGGAACAGGAAAGAATCAGAGAAATTCATTTACCATGAAATGAATTAGTCACCATTTCTATTCAAGATACTCTCTCTGAGTTGCTATTCACAGTGGTTAAGCAGTGAATTAATACAGCAATACTACCCTCTGTGTGATGATTTCACTGACCCGCTGTCAGAAGGAACACTTGTATTTTGAGAATCACTGATTTCTGTTCCGTTGGCAGCTGGCTGTCAGATGCTGACTTCCACCCCTTGACTAGCCCCTAATTAGGCATGGGGTATAATCAGAAAGATGAAGCCTGCAGCCAGAGAACCAAAGACATTTCTTCTTTCTCTGCAGACCCAGTGGTCTACAGACAAAGTCTGGACTTTTTTGGTCTCAATTTTACAATGTTTGACTGAACTGGCCTTTTAAAGTAGCTTCAGCCATACGAATAAGCAACTGGAAAAAAAATCTTAAAGTACTTAAGAAATACAGCCACAATGTCACACATAGTTTTCCCTTTTTTCCTCTATGAATTAAAAATAAAAAAACAGTATAACACCTTAAAGTCATTTTTTTTCCCAATGGAGTGAATTTCATAGTAACGTCTGAGTCTACCATGATGTCTGCTTACTAACTTGTGCAGTCGGGAGCAGTGCCTGTCCAGGTCCCATTGGCTGTGCAATGCCGTGTCATGAGCCCTGAGGTCTTGTAGCCTTCCCAGCAGGCATAGATGACCGAGCTGGAGAACAGAATGCCATCACTACTGACAATCATTCCGTTGGTGGGTGTGCCAGGGTTGCCACAGGACACGGCTGTTAGGCAAACAAGAACACCACCACACACAGTGAGTGACCCAGCATGAAAATGGCAAACACAAGAGACCAATGGGTATCAGTGCAATAGACTACACATTTATTACAAACCCAAAGCACACAATCCTATGGAAGTTCCTTAACATATGGCTTACTATGGCTCATATGTTTATTTTACTGATTAGCTACAAATATAAAAATAACCTTTCAATTCGTCTTTTCTAAAGTGAACTATTTCTAAACAAATTAAAACATGAGTTAAAGCACTAAAAGTTCAAGGCCCTGTTATTCAGGGACTGAATGTTTTTAATAGCCTTGCTATTTGGGGATTGAATGTTTTTAATGCCGTGACAGAATTGTTGTGATTTTTAAAAAAGAATATCTATGATATTAGCAACACTGAAGCATCTTCCTTTATGTAATCACTGTATTTTTTTAAAATCTAGGCAATTCAGGTCCTATTTTACATCTCCAGGAGAATTCACTTTGGAAAATAAAGAATGCCTCAGAAGTATGAATGACTGTACTTGAACTGCTTTGTAAAATGGTGTCCTCAATAATTACCAGCTCTAATAGCAGCTGTGTTAATTGGCTTTGACATGATTGAACTTTACATTTCTCTCAAAAGGCTCCTAATGCCATGTACAGGCAATAAGGCCTCAATTAACGATGGTCAGTGCAACAGGTCTACACTCTGTGCCTATTTTTTACGCTCTTTAGTCAGTAAACAAAAGCAAGCTCGGCTGCCGCTGGGTACGTTTCAGGGTGAACATTTCAATCTACACTTTTTTTTTTCCCTTTTTTAGTCGAGCCTATTTACCAGAAAGATTGCTACATTTTCTCCTTAGTACTGTTGCAATAATATACAATAGGCAGGTAAATAAAGGAAGTGACCCTTGGCTGGTTAACAAGAATATATATCATGAGACTGCCTCTGAGCTGATCAAAATATTTAAAAATACTTTTGCACATTTAATTGAAACAATTTCAAATCTGGCCTGGAGAACAAAGATATATTTTTCTTAAAAGAACATGGAAGAAAACATCCTGCAAAATTTGCTCAGCACAGAGAAGTCACTGTACTGGGAGTCGAGGGACTACCCTTCTGATTACATAGAAATAAAGCACTTGTGCTCAGGTTGAACTGGATCTTGTTTGAAAAAAATAATACAAAGTGCACACGCTGGTGCTTCCTGGTCCCGTGCCAATGGCAGACAGAAGTACTCAATCACAGCCCTCTTCTCTGATGGTTCACGGTGTGACTTCCAACCCCTTCTAACACAGACCTATTAGTAGTTTCCTGGTTGGCATATGAGTTGGGATGTATTTACCAATCCAGAAGCACATACTATTTAAGGCTCTCTAAAACTTGAAAGTTTTATGATAACTATACTATATATCAAAATTTCATTTTGCAATAATTAAGGGTTGGACTATCCAAGACAACTATTCATTCAACAAACACATATTCCTCACTTACTGTGCAACAGGTACTGTGTGGATGGGCTAATGGAAAGCCTGTCACAGAAAGGGAGTGAGTTTGGTCCAATTCATAGTTTAACAAACCGAAAGAGGACACTGATGTTATTGTTACATTGTATTCTAATTACATTTGCTATTCAATTGTATGTCTAAATCTTCAAAAGCCACCTAGGTAGAACCAATACTTAAACAAGTCAAATAACCGATGAAAAATTTCAATTCAGTTTGTAAGGAAACTAAAATGTTAGTTTGCTAATATTGTTAATGAATGAGTACCAGCATAATGCTATCCTAATATTGGGAATGTCCCCTCAAATATTGTACTGTGGAAAGTAAAATTCATGATTAGTTTTTTTCTCTTTTTTTGGCTGACAAAAACCACTTTCACTCACGGTTATAACTATGAAAATGACTAGAAGGCAATGTCAACATATCCGCTTTTCTATCAATGCAATTATGTAAAATTATAAGACAGGACTAAGACTAAAACAAAACAATAGATTAAATTTAGAGGAGAAAAAAGAACAATAAATTAGAAGAGGAAAAGTAAACTGGAAGAAGAAAAATAAATTAACCTGTAAGTTTAAACTTTGCCATATTTTCTCTTTCCTGAGTTTATTTTCTTTTGAAATATGCTTTTATAAAAAGTACATTTTGTTAACGTGACTTCTTCAGCTAAAACATAATTTCTTTAACTCAGCATATAATAAAATATTATGCTTATTTTAAATATACTTTATTATTTACAAATATTAGTACTGTTCATTTTGCATGCTACATGACAAAAATTGCTGTTAAATTGAGTTAAATAGATGTGAATATCTGCTCATGCAAGTTAAATAAACCTGAGCAATCAATTTAAATTCCTTAGATATAGTGCCTTTAACCATAAAATGAGTATTATAAAAATACTTATTCCCGGCTGTTACCAAATTACCCACGCTATATGTAAAATGCCTAGTGTGAGATCTGATGTATTAGTGGTAGCAATGAGTTAGCTTGTAGCTTATGCTATTGTTATTTTCATCATCATCACTCTTACTTATTGAGTAAAGTGTAGCTTTATCATAATTTCATCTGAAAGAGAATTAAGAGTTCCCTAATACAGCTGAAACTAAATATTTTAGTTATGTAATGCAACTTCATGAGATAGATCCATTTGAAATCTTAAGCTTGAGCCTATGATTAAAAGACTAGATGGCTAACAAAAGCAAATTTGATTTAATGTGAAGGAAATATATCTGCAATATAAATTCTTTGAGTTGAAGAATTTAAAAAGATTTTTCGTTTAGAATTATAATTTCCTCCTCCTTTTTATAATTTATTCAATTTACCATCAGTATCTAACTTTTTGACAGATTTAGAGGAAATAATTTCATCAGGTTTGCAATAATCTTAACTAGGGGATTAGTCAAGTCATAGCTAGTCATAGAAGCTACGCTTCCTGGAAATGCAACCACTGGTTACATCCTTTTTCATCGAGAGGAACTCACACTTCAGTGATTTGGACCTATGATAACAAACAAGGAACAAAATGAAAACCTACAGATTCTCCAAAATGTATTTCAAATTTTTGCTGGTGTGTGTGTGTTCAGTCACTGATTTTATGACTTTTATACATAATTTGTTGCCTTATTGGGTGTAACATATATTGCAGTGGGCTTATTCAGCTTCCCATGATGTCCGTATCATATAATGCAGTTTTAGAAGTAATCAATTTTGTGAGGCATGATATATTTGAGAAATATTTTCAGCATTGCAACATTTTTGTAACTTATTTTGTGTATGCAGCTTTTAAGGGCTAAGTTTCTAATTTTTTTTCATAGAAAACTTTTAAATGTCTAACTTTAGAAAGCAAAATAAAATTTTTAAAAATACTTTGCATTGCCTGAGTTAGATAGATTGGGAAGTGAAACGCAATTAAGCTCTCATTCAAATAAATTGTTTAATGTGTACTTTGCTGGACTAGAACTCATAGTGTGCCTTCATAGCCCCACAGAGGTGAGATTGCTAAGGAAAAACATTGCCCACCCTCAACTGTTATAATTTTGTTCATCTTTTAAGTTTTCAAAACTGAAATACTTGAGGTAAACATGATACTGAATGTACAGTCTCAAGTGAATGGCCATCTTTGATAGAATATTTCATATTCCACTTTCTGGGAGTGTCAGAGTCTCTGCTCTTCATACACCAAGTTCAGGCTGCAAACCAGGGTTTAGGCTCAATTATTGCATTTAATATTCTTGAAAACAGAAGGATAGTTCTGCTTTTAATCAGCATCAGATTATATCTATAAAGTCTGAATAATTATTCCAGCATTCACTTATTGACATCCAGCCCTCTTTGTAACTATTGAGGAAATATTTTAAATTTCAATTAAAATACTGCCGATGAGTGATCTTTCAGCCTCTCTGTTTTTAAACAATGGAGAATTAAGATCCAGAACCAAGACTTTGTGATCACTACATAGAATCAGGTCTAGAGCCAAAATGTCACAATTCACAAACCCACCATGGTGCTTTCCAAAAGTCCCGAATGATAAATGCTACAGATACATTAAGCTACTGTTAAATGGGATTTGACAGAAACGTTGAAATTTTACTATGGAAATTGTTTTAATTTATTGGCAACATTTTTTGTAACTCCACACTTTGTTATAACTACAGGATTAAACAAACTTCACAAAAAGATTATAAGCCATTCTTACACACCCTTTAGTCAGATTCATCCACTGTTTACATTTTGCTCACTTTTTCTCCCTCTGTCTCTCTAAATATGTATTTTCTAAGGTATGTGAGTGTAAGTTACAGACATGACAACTCTTTAGAGTTAAATATATCAGTATGTATTTCCTAAGAACAAAGGCATTCTCTTACATAACCATAATACAATTATTAAAAGAATGAAATGTAACTTTGATGCAATGTTGTCTCATACACACCCATAATCTAATTCACTTCAAGCTCTTGGACATATTTTTAATAGTTGTCTTAAGATCCTGTGTCAGTTCGCCACCTAGATCATCTCAGGGTCAGACTCTACCATCTCGGTAACGCCTCTCATAACTCTCTTTTGCTCAGTGTAGGACCCAATCCGAGACCACACATTGCACTTATCGGGTCTCTTAAATCTGAAAGAATCACTCAGACGGTGTCTTTTCTGAACTTGACGTTTCTTCGTGAACACGGGCAAGCTGATTTGCTGCATGCCCCTAGGGTTTTGGGGGATGTTATTGCTGCTGCTTCAGGACTCGATTCAGGTTACGCATTTCACTGGCAATACCATAGAAATGACAATGTCTCTTTTCAGTGCCTCATATCGGGAAGATAGAACATCACCTTGTTAAAATATTGGTGATAATGGTTTATCCCATAGGATTGCTTACCTGAAGTACTATATGAAAGAGTAGAAAACACTCTGGTTTTGGTGAGAAAACATTGCTCTCATGTGCAAATTTTAATACTGAAATATCTACAAGATGAGAGGGAACTGAAAACATTTGCATTTGATTAACAAATTTATATCAATTTATAGTGTCATACTTCAGTTAAAAACAAAAGTATGATCCTGCAATTCGTGACTATGGGTAACCATTTCTCACTACTAATCAGTGGTATTTGACCTAAGACAACTTTTTTAGGGCCTAGTCTTAAGATTTATACTACTTTGATTGTCAAGAGGCAATTCAGAGTAAAAAATTATCTTGGATTATCATGTTTGTGTGCACATATGTGTATGCCTATATTATATGCATATATATACATATATAGTCAAAAATAGTCTTTGAGAAAAAATATATACACTATGCATGGGTAAATATAATATATAAATATGCAAATATATGCACAAACATTCCTATATTAATATTTAGCGTTATTTTATATGTGAAATTAATGTTACATAGATTATATAATATAGATAGATCATATACATACATTATTTCTATTTACCTATATAGAATGTATAATACAATAAAGGCAGAAGTGGAGACAGTATAGTCAAGGACAATAAATGAAGATTAAGGAAACTCAAGTTAAATTTCTCACATTGATAGTGTGTATGTGAGCTTACTCAAGTTGGTAAAATTATTTGGTTGGAAAGTGTTTCATACATACAACAATACATATTGAATTAATTTGTATAACCTTTTTAGACTGAAAATTTAATTGAGGAGTTTGCTTGTAAAGAATTCCTAACATTTACATTCCTATCTGTCTGAATTCTAAATCGGGTTTTGAACTCCGAATACATGGTTACCATCACCTCTCAGTTCACCTTTGCTTGAGGCTACATTTCTGATACACAGTGCAGTGTCTATAAGGTGTCCGTGGCTATTCTTACTGTCATTACTGGAGCATACCACCACTTCCTACGATGCCTCTCAAACATTAGAATCAAGTAGACCCACTCCAAAATAGTTCATAGAATATAACCCCAGATTCCTGTGAAATAGAGTGCTCCACACACAGGGGCCACCAACAGATTGGAAATGACGTGTGAAGGAAGCCTGCTTCCAGCCTGCGGAAATTCCCATCAGTGATCTGCATTGGTCCTGCTCACTGCTCTGGAACCCCACTCACTCACTGCCAGGATCTAGAAAACACTGGCAACACCACATATAGATTATCACTGGGAGAAGATTAGAAGCTTCCGTGTTACGAACTTTCAAACAATAAGCATCCGTGTGATGGGACCTGTGGATACTTGGAATACCTCCATGCACCCAGTCATGATTTCTGATGATGCTTCCACAAATATTGCGGGGAAAAGATTTAATTGTATAAATAGTACAAACCTCTAGAATTTTTGTAGAATTTTGCCAGGCATTTTAGAACGAGCTGTGTGGTTTTAACTTTCAAGGTGGACCTTAAGGCTTCTGGCTACTCACCCTCACACACCGGCTGCAGTCCTGACCATGACCCATTGAGCAAACACGTGCGTTCAGGGGAGCCCCTCAGCTGGTGCCCCATTTCACAGGAGAAGCGGAGAAGACTCTTTGTCTTAAAGTCATCACCAAGCCGAGACCCATGTGCTGGGGTCCCCGGATCACCACAGAATCCAGGATTATTTCCTATTGAAAACAAACACATACGGCAATCCACAATTGTGTTAGACTTGTTTTAAGCAGAGTTGTCACACTTAAAGATAATGAAAAGTTGTTGAAATTTGTGTTTCACATGAGTTATGGTTACACAACATTCTGCAATCTTGTAAGAAAGAATTTCTTTGTGATAGCCCCAAAATGAAAAGAATTTAGGATGTGGCTCCCATGTTACTAACTTCACAATAGCCTATTCAAATATGGTTGTGAGAATAAACGACGTTTCCTTTGGAAGGAGGAAAATGCCAGGAATGGTAAATGCATCACGTCTTCACTGAAAAGGTAGGTAGAGAGCAAAAGGAAAATGGGGCTTTAGGTAAACAGGGAATGTGGGGAAAAAAAAAAAAAAAGTCAAAGGAGAGGTTTAGCTCTTCAGAATTGTGTCCAGAGTTGCTGGTTCGCTGAATTTTGGTTGTTTAAGAAACATTCGTGAAAAAAATAAAGATAATGTTTTTTTTCTTCCAAAGAGGACCCATGCGGTTAATGGTGGTAGAGGATGATGGTAGAGGATGATGGTAGAGGATGATGGTAGAGGATGGTGGTAGAGGATGATGGTAGAGGATGATGGTAGAGGATGGTGGTAGAGGATGGTGGTAGAGGATGGTGGTAGAGGATGATGGTAGAGGATGATGGTAGAGGATGGTGGTAGAGGATGGTGGTAGAGGATGATGGTAGAGGATGATGGTAGAGGATGATGGTAGAGGATGGTGGTAGAGGATGGTGGTAGAGGATGGTGGTAGAGGATGATGGTAGAGGATGATGGTAGAGGATGATGGTAGAGGATGATGGTAGAGGGAGGGAAAATTAACCACATAAAAAAGAATAAAGAGCGAACAGGGACACACGGAGCCATGGCCGGCAAGCGTCCTCTCAAATGAGATCCAGACTCTCCTGAGAACCCCGGAGGAGAACATTTAAAGTAATGGTGTCTAACGATTATTGCGAAGATGAAGACAATATCTATAAGAGCGGCGTATTTGGCTAGAAATGCAATACTAATTTCAAATAAATGCATAATTATAGGGCTTTTCAAATAACTGTAAATCATCATTATTTGAAATCACTATTTGAAAAGTTATTTGAAATCTGTAATTCTGTCAGTTCACTCGTAAGCCCCTCACCTGTGCAGTGGGGCAGTGCCCCGCTCCAGTGACTGTCTTCCTGGCACACTCTCGTGTCGTTGCCTATGAGGCTCTCGCTCCCTCTGCAGGAGTAGTGCACGACGGCGCCATAGGTAAACAGCTCTCCAGTGAGGACGGCGTTGGCAGGGACCCCTGGGTGTCCACACGATATAGCTTCAGAAAAAAGATAAAACAATTGAGTACATCCTTCCAGTTAAACCACTTTGTATTGGAAAATCTCCCATACAGACACCCATACTGACATCATGTATTAAAGAAAAACACCTAAATATTCTGGTACTTATGTAATTTGTGAGAAATACCAATTTTCAGATGACACTTCCTCCCCTAATTTCTTTACTGAAAAGGAAAGGTCCCGTTTATGAAGTTTTTGTTTTGCTAAGGTAGCTTTCCTTATGGTAGAAATTTACATGTGGATTTTCAAGGAGACAGCCATACTGCCTACATTTTTCCATCGACCCTTAACTATATTCCAAATGAACAGTATTATAGGAAATTTGCGAAAGTAACATGGATGCATTAAAACTATTTCCACGATGTTTTCAGTTAATATGACAATCATATTCTTTGCTTGCGGACATGATTCTGTCAAATCTGCTTAATCTTCAAGCTCACATGTCTAAGAAAACCATTCTAACAGTTACTCTTTGAATAAGGGGCAGTCTAATATGTATAAGTAAAATAATAATAATCAATTATTGATTCATTTGTTCTTCAAATTGTTCTATAAAATAATCTCATTATTTCCCTTCATTTCCTTAAAATTATACCAAATCAGGCCTAAACTCTATTTATAAATATCCTTCAAAAAGGCAAACTCTGTAATCCAGATTAAAATAGGATAGTGAAGATTTATTTTTCCTTTACTGTACAGTATCAAATGAGGGCTAGCAATGGACAAATTTTTATCTATATGCAAAAATAACCGATTTGAGACTACCAAGGAATTACTCAAAGGCGACTGCTTTAGTATCCTAGAGTAATTCCATTTGGTAACGAGACACCCAGAAGGGTTATCAACCAGAGAGGTAGATTTGAACGCCTGGAAGCCATGGCCATCCCCTGAGTCATATCAGCCGTCACTTTCTGTCTTACATGGACATTGATTCATTGGAGAACCGGATTTTATCCACATAGAGTCCTTAAAAGAAGCCAGTGAGACCTGAAACAGTGAAATGCTGGATAAATGACCATTTCCAGGTGAAATAAAATTTATATCTTATTTAAATTTTAACCTTCAGTGAAACAATATCACAGCAAAATCAGACATGGAGCTCAGCTGCTCTAGAGCATGGAAAAGCAAAGGCACCCTGAGATCTTTGGATTCCCAAAGTGACGACAATTCCAACTGTTAATGACACCAAGCGGAGTGAACTGGCCACCCCGGAAAAGGAGAGCCAGCTAAACCCCAGCTCCTGGAGACTTGAGGAACATCAGCATCAGTACAAAACCAAATGGAAGTCTCACACAAGCCAGTGGAGACATAAAAGAAATGTTCTGGGACAGACAAAAACAAAACTAAACCAATTTCTATGAAAAATTCCCATGTGTGAAAGCAAGGAAGATGAGAATGCAGACATAATTTGAAGACCGTAACACATTTACAGATGCATTTTTTGTTAAATAAGGCTGAGAATTTTTTTGAAAGTTACCACTGTCGTTCTCCACAGGAATTAATTGAATTGTTGAAGTTAGAATTTGAGATGAGTTTCTGTGTAGATTAGAGGAATGTGAGGGAAACTCACTTGGAGAAAAAAAAAAAAACTGCAACACTAACCCATTCTCAAAATACACTTCACAGTGCTAAAACTGAAAAGGCAAGAGGCATTATCCCTTTTATTGTGTATGTGGTAGATCCGATTCATAATGTAAGTGCCATTTCCCTCCTCATTTCTATTTTTATTTTTTTAGAGATGGGGATTTGTTTGCTGGCCAGCCTGGAGTGCAGTGGTGCAATCGTAACTCCTGGACTCAAGTGATCCTGCCACCTCAGCCTCCCAATGTGCTGGGACTATAGGCATGTGCCACCATGCCCCACTAGTTTTTATTTTATTTTTTGTAGAGATGGAGTCTGGCTAGGTTGTCCAAGTTGATCTAGAACTCCTGGCCTCAAGAGATCCACCTTCCCTGGCCTCCCAAAATGCTGGGATTACAGGTGTGAGTCACGGCACCTGGCCTCCACTTTCTTTATGGATGTAAAATGCATAGGACAAAGATCAGATTTTGATTTTAAGGATTGCTTTGCTTCTGCCTAATTTCAAAAAGACTAAAGAGAGTAACACCTTTTCCTAAATCTTCAGACTATGATCTTAAGACATGATTCTCTTTTAGTTAACAGTCAATCTGATTTTTTTTTCAAGTCAAAGAAAATAACACTTTGGCTATTTGGGTAAAATGATATATTCTTGCTAATCTTCATGGTCTAAAATACACTGACAATAAAGCTGTAAGAGGGGCCATAAGGATCATCTATAATTATCTCTGCCCAGAAGAACACATCCATTTTTCAGAGCCATATCCCTTCCCCTGATTTAAAGATTCAATTCACAAGCCAATTACTATCAGGATATGAGGTTTTTTTAAAAAAAAAAAGAAAGAAAGAAAAAAAGATTTAATAACAACTTTATTCATTTATTTTTTATCTTTATTTAAGTTCTGGGATGCATGTGCAGGGTGTGTAGGTTTGTTACGCAGGGAAATGTGTGCCATGGTGGTTTGCTGCACCTATCAATCCATCACCTAGGTACCAAGCCCCATATGCATTAGCTATTTATCCTGATGCTCTCCCTCCCCCTACCCTACTGACAGGCCTCAGTGAGTGTTGGTCCTCTCCCTGTGTCTATGTGTTCAGCTCCTACTTATAAGTGAGAATTTGTGGTGTTTGGTTTTCTGTTCCTGCATTAGTTTGCAGAGGATAATGGCTTCCAAGCTCCATCCATGTCTCTGCAAAGGACATAATCTCATTCTTTTTTATGGCTGCATCACGTTCCACGGTGTGTATGTACCACGTTTTCTTTATTCAGTGTTTTACTGATGGGCACTTGGGTTGATTCCATGTGTGGTTATTGTGAATAGTGCTGCAGTGAACATACACATGCATGTATCATGGGATCTAACTAAACAAAAGAGCTTTAGCACTGCAAAAGAAACTATCCTCAGAGTGAACACACAACCAACAGAATGGATGAAAATCGTTGCAATCTATCCATCTGACAAAGGTCTAATATCCAGAATCTACAAGGAACTTAAACAAATTTACAAGAAAAAAACAACCCCATTAAAAAGTGGGCAAAGGACATGAACAGACACTTCTCAAAAGAAGACATTTATGTGGCCAATAAACATATGAAAAAAGCTCAACATCACTGATCATAAGGGAAATGCAAATCAAAACTACAATGAGATACCATCTCATGCCTGTCAGAATGGCAATTATTAAAAAGTCAAGAAACAACAGATGCTGGCGAGGCTGTGGAGAAATAGGAATGATTTTACACTGTTGGTGGAATGTAAATTAGTTGAATCATTTTGGAAGACAGTGTAGCGATTCCTCAAAGACCTAGAATAAGAAATACCATTTGACCCAGCAATCCCACTACTGGGTATATACTCAAAGGATATGAGGTTTTTATTGTAGTCACCATGGACTGTACCAGGAATGCTCACAAAACCCAATCAGGTCTCACAGCACTCCCTTCTTTGGCCGTAGATGCCAGGTCAACAGACAGAAACTCCACACCAGAGCACTTCGCCCACCTGGGCTGAGCGAGAGTAAGACGCCTGGCGGGGAGGTCCTGGCTGCCGTGTCTGAGCTGTGTGGACCAGGCCTACCTGGTAGGCTGAGGCTGAAGGCAAGCCATGAGAAAAACAGATAAAGGCATCATTGTCCAAGTGGCATCCAATAACCTGGGTCATTTCTCCTGAGCATACCAGCATCCCCCGACCCTTCAAATTTGCTGAAGTTGTATTTGGTGATTTCTGGCCACTCGATCTACAGCTATCATAAAAACTCCTACAATTGGTGATGGGAGGACAGAAGGAATTAAAATTCAGTGCCTTTTAAATATACTTACGGAATTTTCTGCTGATGGTGACCTTGCAGGGGTCTCTGCACAGAAATTGGGAATAACCCTGACTTACCCAAACACTTGGGCAGGGATCGGTCCCATAAGCCATTTGCCATACAGGTCAAGGCTGAAGATCCCAGCAAGTAAAATCCCTTCTTGCAATGGTACAGGATACTCATTCCATACTCAAAACTCTCAGGGAAGTTCTGTTGCCCGTGACGAATGGCATTTTCCACAAAGCCTGGATCAGAACAGTTCACCACTAGAAAATAAAACATTTCACACACCATTTAGAAACAGCTAGAAATAACAACAAAATAGATCAGAAATGAAGGCGAATTCCTCATCATTTTAGAAAGTTCAAAAACTGACAACATGATGGCTGAGGCTCATGAAATTCCACTCTCACGATGAATTCTCCGCTTTGGACCACTCTTTTTCAAGAGGTGTCAAGAACTGGTCGACCACGATAGCAATTTTCACGTGAGGCTAATTTCCTCTATTTCCTAGTAATGTTTATTCAACGTAAATTCTGAAGTTAGTTTCCTTGGTTAAGTTTTTGTGTTCTAATAATGGTCAAATAGAACTAGCTGAGGTTCGTTTAAATATTTTTACTCAAGTGTGGTGTTTTAGAACAGTCTGTGGCACACCAGTTAATTACCCCCCAACACACATACACACCTACTTGCATTAGTGCTTTAATATGTGTGCCTAAAATAATTTTGCTCTATGTAGAACGCAACTAAAAATGACAATTATTCCATCAACACCTAACAGAAATGCAAATCAAGCCAGCCTCTGACTTAGGCCTCTTCTCCTTTTAGAAACAGGTCCGTGGTGAGGCAGTCTTCTGCGGCATGCGGGACATGCTGTGGTTCCTCTGAAAGGCATTAGCCTGAATGCCTGTTGGCGTCTGTGAGGGAATTAGCGATGTGCTTTTGCAGGTGCAGAGGAAAAGAAAGAACTCTGATTACCTCATGCTTTGACCCACCCCACCAGTGAATGAGGCAGCTGTTCCAGAGGCCACAGTCTCTCCAGATATTTCTGGCTCAGAAAAGCACTGTGCAAATGAATCTCGGGCGGCCTCTGCACATCATGAGTCCCAGAAGCTGAAGACAAACCCTGTACCCAAACTGTGCGTTTTATTTCTTCTCTATTCAAAAAAGGAAGGCAGAGGGCAGAATCAAGGCTTACAGTGTTCCCTTTTAGTGCAGTAGAATAATGTTCTATGCTTCCTAAAACACCCCTGAGTTTACAGAAGAAAGTCTTGAGTTCTTTTGAATCAAAAAAGCCAAAACAAACAAAAAGCCATGTGTGAAGTTCGGGCAAATAATTTTTAAGGCATGTACATGCCCCTACAGGGCATGTATCTGCAATACAATTGTAACCAAATCTCTGAAATAGCAGGAATTACCTAATGTGAGAAATTCTAATTAACTTGAAAATGTGATTATTTGTATAACCTGGAAGACACCCACATCGTCCCATTCTTACATCAAGCATAAGAGATGGAATCAGCTCCCCCATGCCATACTTTCATAAGGAGACGGACAGTCCCGGGCTGGAACACTAAAGATATTTTTGTGTTTATGTTTGTGCTTATGTTGCTCTTAGGAGACTGTCCAAAAATAATTTCAAACTGTGTTTGTAATCAAAGCAGAGAAAGCCACTTAGGAGAAATGAGTGGAAGACTTTGACCATCTCCCACTAAGGATGACCGAGAGAAACCAAATGGCCCCGGGATGCCAAAGGCCAGATTGAGCTGATGCCACCATTTCTCCTCCTCCTCCTCCTCCTCCTCCTCCATTTCCTCCTCCACCTCTGTGTCCTTTCTTCCTCCTCCTCTTCCTTCTTCTCCTCCTCCACCTCCTTGTCCTCTCCTCCTCCTTTTCTTCCTCCTCCTCCTCTTCTTCCATCCCTCTCTTCCTTCTCTTTCTCCTCCTCCTTCTCTTTCTCCTCCTCCTTATCATTTTCATCTTCTCTTTGGCCCAGCCTCTCTTAAAGGTTCACTGGCAGACATTTATTTACTGGTGCAGTAACAACAGGATCCAGTCACACCCTTCTCCTTGCAGGCAGAGAACCAAATGTTCTCTGAGTTCCACCACGGCTGGTGAAGGGGAATTTACAATATGTGAGGTTCATAACCTTGCTCTGAAACTAAGGACTAAAATTCTCTTTAAGGGTCACTCTTGCCGTGGAAAGAGGTGCGCAGGAGACAATAAACCCCTCATTCTTGTAAATCATTTTGCAACCTTACATTGCATTAGAATTGCTTGGAGGATGTGTATTAAAATGCTAAGCCCTAAGTTCCTACCCTTTCCTTTACCTAGTTCACTACCCTTAAAATATTTTGAGCAGTAAAAAATGTTTGAAAGCAATAAATATTCCTTGAGCCCCATGTGGGGAAACTCAGTGGATCCTAAAATGGAAGAAGCATGGATACAAATACTCTAAATCTTCTCATGCACCTTTTCAGTCCTACATAGAGTTGCAGTCAGAAGTCTTTCTTTATGTTCCTTCCTATTTAATTCTGAGGCTCCAATAGGAGATACAGCTGCAACTATGTGCTGGAGGAAAAACAGGGCAGGAATAATTTGATTTATTTGTCCATGATAGAACTTCCATACCATTGTTGCAAATGGGTGTGTTTTACTGTACAGAGAAGAATTTATCTGCCAGAAGAGTTTGTTAGTGACCAACCAATCCACACAAGCACCTTTCCCATCTGTATTTGTTTTGTCATTTTCTATGTGAACAATTCCTATCCAGGGATCTGATGGAAAGAGGCTTATGTGAGTGACAGGTGAGCTATTGGTTTGTAAACTAGAAGGAGAAATGGCCAGTGAAGTTCATGGTGCGGAGATATGTCAGGCCCACCTGCAGCGACTCCAGACCTGGTTCATGACATGCTGTTAAGTATAGGGTAATGCGTCAGAAAGAAATAAAGAGGCTCACTCTAGACGGCTGCACCTCATCTTAACATCTTAATGCCTAATACACTAAGACTTGATTTCCAAGTGTGAAAACCTGACATGGAACCTGATTTTGTCAGCTGGGAGGAATGAGAACACTGATGTCTTATATACATACAGCTCAGCGTGGATTTTGTCAGCTGGAAGGAATGAGAACATGATGTCTTATATACATTCAGCCCAGCAGGGAGAAGTTCAAATGAACACACAGGCTGTGTTCTGTGGCGAAAGCTGGGTATGTGGAAAGGTAAAAGAAGAAATTAATACCGGGATCAATAACAGGTCCAAAGTCACAATGACAATTGAACTAGAAATACATAAGAATCAGGACTCCTGAACACATGTCTGGTATAGCATAATAATAAAAGGCATCAGCATTCCTTGGTGACAGGAATCCCAGTTGCACCCCACCCCTTTTTCCTGGAGAGGACCAGCTGGAAATCTTAGCCCTCGATAGGATTCTAGAGGTGACTCATTAAGCTATTTTCTCTACTCTATATACACTCCTTACTCAGAGATGTCTTCTTAAAGATGCTCAAGTTGACATACGAATATGGGTAACAGGCCAGGTGCGGTGGCTCACACCTGTAATCCCAGCACTTTGGGAGGCCAAGGTGGGCAGATCATTTGAGGTCAAGAGTTCGAGACCAGCCTGGCCAACACGGCGAAACCCCATCTCTATTAAAAATACAAAAATTAGCCAGGCATGGTGGCAGGGGCCTGTAATTCCAGCTACTCAGGAGGCTGAGGCAGGAGAATTGCTTGAACCCAGGATGCGGAAGCTGCAGTGAGCCGAGATCATGCCACTGCACTGCAGCCTGGGTGACAGAGCGAGACTCTGTCTCAAAAAACAAACAAACAAACGAAAAGCAAATATGGATAAACATAAGGTCCTATTGTTTATTCTCTTTCAAACTTTCTTGAGGATCATGGAGGTCCTTCCTATCCAGTAATGTCCCCATTCTCAGTTAAGTGAACGTACTGATCGCCTGATGAAGGAAGCCTGAAAACACTGTGTTTTGAGATTTGATGGTGAATTATTTGAGCAGTTTTGCCAGCTCTAAGAGGGATCACTGTTCCCGTGGCATGCCTCACACCGTAGTAGGTCTCAGCAAAGCACCCGCACTATGACCGCGGCTCCACCTCCAGGAGCTGCCCTGTCCTGCCATGTGCTCACTAACCAGTGTTTCCCTTTTAATTCCCTTCTTGGGGACAGGAAGCAAGGTGTGCTCCACATCCTCGCTTCTTTCCAGAACCCAAAGCAATGGCAGTGTTTTCCTGAAAAACTCCCTAATGACAGAGAAACGTGATAATTCCCATCCCAGGTTCCTTCTCCAGCTGTTGATCAATAGAAACGAAGCCACCTGTCTGCACGCTGGTCTCTTATAGGCAGCTTGGCTCTAAGCTGAAGGGCAGTAACAGGGCATCACATAAGAGTCTGGTGTCCTCTCCATGGCACAGATGCTGGGCTCTTCGGGCAGACGACTCCTAACATAACTTTGCAGGATTCGTATCTATTCGATTCCAGCCTGTTATGTGATGAGGAAACACCGTGAACACTTCAACTGTTTTTTAATTAGATAATGTAATTCCAAGTTCCATCTGTTGTTCTCAGAAAAACTTTTTATAATCAGTTCTTATATTAAACAGAATCTATATCTGATATATATATACATACATATATATTTTTTTTTGAGATGGAGTCTTGCTCTGTCTCCCATGCTGGAGTGCAGTGGCACAATCTCGGCTCACTGCAAGCTCCACCTGCTGGATTCACGCCATTCTCCTGCCTCAGCCTCCCGAGTAGCTGGTACTACAGGCACCCGCCACCATGCCTGGCTAATTTTTTGTATTTTTAGTAGAGACAGAGTTTCACTGTATTAGCCAGGATGGTCTCTATCTCCTGACCTCGTGATCCGCCTGCCTCAGCCTCCCAAAGTGCCGGGATTGCAGGTGTGAGCCACCTCGCCCAGTCTTTCTGTTGTATATTTTTAACTTCATTTATTTATTCATTAAAATGTATTACTTAACGATAATTATAGATAAGGCTTTACTTGAAGGCTCTGAGATGATTAGAGCAGAACCGTGGACTTTCACTTGTATATCCAAAATTTGGCAAAAAATTGTAAATCTAATCGTAACCCAAAGTAAAGCACTTCCCAGTCTTTGGCATCAGCACTCTTTCCTACAAGCACAATAGTTTTTAAAGAAAGTATAAGCAACTATGATCGAGGTCGTGCCTAACTTCTTATTTTTGTAGAAGCTCTGCCTGGGGCCAAATTTGTTCTTATGTGTGTTGATTTTGAAAGGCAAACCATGGAAATAAAGCTTAGTTTTTAAATTTCAATATAATTATTATACAAAAAGGAAAAGTAAAATCGAAACTGTCAGATTAAACTTTAAAAGCTAAATGCTATGGGCTAAGCTTTTATGTGAAATTAAAAATTAATATTAAGCAAAATTGGCAGAAATACACTGTTACAGTATGAACTGGTAACTCCTGTTCCCTGAGCAAATAGAAAACTGTTAATTACTAAGAAAAAAAATAAAACCAACTTAGTGCAAGTTCTGTTTTTAAATGGCTGTGAGTGACATTCTGAGAATAAAAGGCAACTAACTTTCCATACATTTGGAGGTGCACTGAGAGACCATCCGTTTATGTCGCTGCCTCAAATCGGATTCACAGGAAACGTCTGATCCACGTCTGTCAAATTCTGCTCACTGGGGCAACCCTCAACAGCAGTGACTGGGAGCCGAGCAAACGCACAGGAGGGAGAGGTAGGATGCTGGGAGGAGCATGGGATTTAAAGAAACCTGTGCGTTGAGGCTATTTATTTACTTTTTCTTTTTTCCCCCGAGACCACGTCTTGCTCTGTTGCCCAGGCTGGAGTGCAGTGGCATTATCTTGGCTCACTGCAACCTCCGCCTCCCTGGTTCAAGAGATTCTCCTGTCTCAGCCTCCTGAATAGCTGTGATTACAGGCATCCGCCACCATGCTCGGCTAATTTTTGTATTTTTAGTACAGACAGGGTTTCACCATATTGGTCAGGCTGGTCTTGAACTCCTGACCTCGTGATCCACCCACCTTGGGCTCCCAAAGTGCTGGGATTACAGGCATGAGCCACCGCGCCTCGCCTCATTCTTTTACTTCATGAGTGCTGGATGAACGGCCAGCGAAGATGAGCAAATAGAAGTTGTCAGAGACACATAGTGGTAATTTTGGGTCTAGGAAGTCAGGAATCCCAACAAGCCCAGCATCCCGTGCAAAGCACATGGGTTTGGAGGTAATAAACTTTTCAATCGTCCATACCACCATCGACTTCAGATTCTGTTGGTGTTTTTTAACTCACACATATTTATGCACGTATTTAATCCAACACGTTTGACTACACATCACCTGGACAAGAGGTTTACATACCCAACTTAAAAAATACATTGAAAATGTTTTAAAGTATAACTTCTTTAAGTTTGAATTTTAAGTTAACAGTTAACTCTGAACAGATACTGGAACAAATCAGACCTGAGCTTAAAATTTTGGCAGAAAAACCATTATTTTAAGACCATCATTGGCCTCAAAGCGACTCAAAATCAATATACGTCCCAATATAAACTGTGACACAATTTTTATGTCACAAAAATTGTGTACAGAATATAGAAACCTTAATTCTGTAAGCAGACTGGAAATATACCATGTTCAAAGCTTTATTTTGTTTTCAAAAAGAATCCTGTGGCCCCATCATGCCTGTATCACTAGCTTCTGCCTAGTTCAGGAACACGCAAAACACATGATATTTCCACATGTAAGTGAGGGAGGAGACTGTGGTGTGATACTGCTACACTGTTTCACCACGTGAGGCAGGAGACTGTGGTGTGATACTGCTACACTGCTTCACCACGTGAGGGAGGAGACTGGTGTGATACTGCTACACTGTTTCACCACGTGAGGGAGGAGACTGGTGTGATACTGCTACACTGTTTCACCACTTTCCTTACAAAGGTTCTATACAAAGTCACTAAATTACACAATGCATAGGCAATATATAGGCAATACTCCTTATAGTTTTCTTCTGAAATTTTACTTTTCTTAAAAAAAATATTCAATGAAGTATAACTGATAAAGTTTAAAGGGCACTGTTCAAACAAACATTGTCAACTGATTGACATACAAGGAAGAAAGTCATAGGAGAGGGTGACTCAGCTTCACTCAAGGAGCTCAGTGGGAAATCAGGCAAGGCCTTAAGAAGTTGCTTTGTCTTAACAATAGCTGCCCGGAGCAACAGGTGGACGGGTCTGGTACTTTCAATTTATTCTACAAGGAAACCGGAAATGTGCTCCAGGAGGCCCCAGTGGCTTCTGAACTGCTCCTTCTACATTCTTTGCATATTGTGATCGAAAAGAAAGAAGGGAAGGGAAGGGGAGGGGAGGGAAGGGAAGGGGAAGGGGAAGGGGAAGGGGAAGGGGAAGGGAAAGGGGAAGGGAAAGGGGAAGCGGAAGGGGAGAGAGGGAGGGAGGGAGAAAACCGTCTCCATAGAAGAAGGAAGGAAGGAAGGAAGGAAAGAAGGGAGGGAGGGACTGATAACCAGGTTACAGCTATAGTTTTGGCTTTTAGGTGTGATAAAAGAAATACGTTATAATTTATTGTAATTGACAATTGTAATTGATTGCCTGACTTTCCTGCGATAATATAAACTTTGAAGAGGAAATTCAGATTCCCTGAGGACTCACTGTCTGCCAGGCACTTGGCCAAGCATTGGTTTATCTAGAGCTCTCAAAAACCTATGAAGAGGGTACTGTGGCTACCACTTCCTTGATTCTTCATCTAAGAAAACTGCTGTTCTCCCAGGAAGTCGAGCATGAACTGTAAGACCTGCAGCTAGGACTAGGTGGTGTGGGTGCAAACACATATCAGATCAACCCCTAAGACTGTGTTTTCTCTACTCAGCAACACTCCCTCTAAGGCCTACACAGATATTAATATTTTCCCCAGTTCATTTATTTTTTATTTTTTTTGAGACAGAGTCTCACTCTGGCTCACCCAGGCTGGAGTGCAATGGCGCGATCTCAGCTCACTGCAAGCTACACCTCCCGGGTTCACACCATTCTCCTGCCTCAGTCTCCCGAGTAGGTGGGACTACAGGTGCCCACCACCACGCCCAGCTAATTTTTTGTATTTTTAGTAGAGACGGGTTTTCACTCTGTTAGCCAGGATGGTTTTGATCTCCTGACCTCGTGATTCGCCTGCCTCAGCCTCCCAAAGTGCTGGGATTACAGGCGTGAGCCACCGCGCCCGGCTCTCTAGTTCATTTTTTACCAAAGAAAATATGCCTAATGCAAAGGAAAAACATTGCAGGAAATATTAATTTGGTGCAAAAGTAATTGCGGTTTTTACTACAGCAATAGCAAAAACCGCAATTACTTTTGCATCGACCTAATAACACAAGGAAGTGGCATATGCAAATTCTCTACACCATCATATTTACATCTTGACTTCAGAGACTCTTGCAAGTACATTCCCTCTTAACTGATTTTAACTCAGCCCTAAGGCAAAGTTACAACTAATTCTTAATGGTCTCTCCGACTATATTATTTCCAGGCTTTGGATGTATTTTTCTATCATATTTTACTGATAAAATAATAAACAGCTTATATTAAGGGCATTTAGCATTTGCAGGTCAAGAAGAAAGGCAAGTTAACTCTCTGAGCTATTAAAATTTTAATTAAAGAGGCATTAATTTTATAAGGATAATTCTTGACATGAAAAATTCTTCATGATATATGATTACACAAAAAGGCAGGTTATAAAAGAGTCCATAGGAATTATATGTAAGCTTATGTGTGTATACATCATATATATAAATAAGAAATATATAAGTATATAAGAAACAGAAATATTTCTTTCTATATAATATATACATAAATATATATAAGAAATATATAAAGAAGTATATTTCTATATATATAAGAAATACATAAAATGCAATAAAATCTACAATACCTTTTCTAAAAATCAAAGCTTATTCACTACTATTTTGAAAGATGATTGATACAGTACTTCTCTTCGGATATAACTCACAATTTTTGCTGTAAGGAATGTACACTGCATTATGAGAAATGAACACATGACTTTTAAGTTAACATAAAATCGGAGGATGAATGCCCCCATAAGAGGGGCCTTCCCTAAGCACAAGAGTGATGCGGGTTCATCACCGTTTCCCTCTGTGCCAGGGGACACACCCTGCCAGCGGCGCGCATAAGGGCAGCTTCGGGGAGACTGGAGTCTCAGGGTCCCTGGGCTCACACCAACCTCCTGCTCTTGACAAGCTCCTTCCCATCCACTTCCTTAAGCCCAAGAGGAGCTTTGTTAAGTCACATCACTGCAATTGGTTCATTTAAGTTCTGCCATACATGTGCAGGATGTGCAGGTTTGTTCCATAGGTAAATGTGTACCATGGGGGTTGGCTGCACCTGTGAACCCATCACCTAGGTATTAAGCCCCGCATGCGTTAGCTATTTTTCCTAAAACCTATTTTCCCCAGTTATTAAAATAACTATTTTAGCTATTTTAACATTAGCTTACATTTCCTTTAATTTTAAAATTTTACTATTTTAACATTTTGAGAATATGTTATTATATCCCATTTTTCATTAACACTTTAGTACAACTAAACCCATAATGATTCTTTAGTGAAGTTTTTGTGGTTGTTTCCTTTTTGATTCCTCTACCCTAACAGAACATTCACTAACCCCATATTTTCTTAATTTTCTTTATGCTTATGTACATAAGCATATCTGGACACATGTTTTACATGTGTCTAAACACCCAATCCTATAAAATTATGAAAGAAAAGAAAAAACAATATCTTAATGTTTGCATGCAATACACAAATTATTAGACAAAGCAGGGAAACAGTATGTGAATCATCCTGAAACGATGTGAGACCTGGTAAATCTAACTGGTCCCTCACTGAACTGGCTCAACTCTTAGGCATAGTGACACATAGTTTAGAATAGGGGACAAAGTTTCCAAGAAAGCTCCTCTAGGGAAATATGGGCCTCCAGGAGAGTAGGAAAATGTGATTCTCAAAATAAACCTGAAGATGCTTGTTTTCATTCCTTCTTATGACATCTTCAACTGTATAAATTATTTCATCCAGAAAGATACTACTACTAATAAAAGGGATACCTTCTTTTATTTATTTTTTAATCTTATATGCAAAGATAGTGTTACTGGGTTGAGTATAATGAATTTTCTTTAGTCTCCTAAATCTGAGTTTTCTAATTGATCACAAGCACTGCAGGGCTGGATAGAGCTGCATCCTGTGAAGGGTTGAACCTGAGAATAAGCAGGCTACCCAGGGTGAGGTGGATGTTGTAGAAATCTGTGTCTAATTCCGCCTCACAGTAGCACGGATTTACCTGGGGCTCTGTTTCAAAATGTGGGATGGGGTCTCTGTTTTGTGCCATTAACTAAGTGCTGCACCAGGGTCACACTCAATGAGTCCTCCAGATTACACACTTGAGAATCTTAGGAAGTAGTTAGGAAAAGAATGCAAAGACAACAGCACATTTATGTGAGATACAACAGCCTACAACTCTTGTGAGAATATTTTAAAAAGCACACACAGTAAGAATCAGACCATATTGCAGTAAACAGCAAGAATCCCTGGCAATTTTGTTCAGCTGCTTTTTTTTAACTTGAGGTTTTTGAGTTTTATGCCATTGTTTCCTGAAGCTTCACCATCTTTATGAGTCTGTCCTCTTTGAAATATTGTTTTTTCCTGTTTTAATAACATGCATATAAATTCTGTGTACTAGATTGAATCTTAGTTCTGAAATAAAACAAAACAAAACAAAACAAAATGGAATAATAGAAAACTAAAGCAGGCAGACAGCTAGGGATGATCCAGGCACTTCTAATCAACATGACATGCCAATGATGGTCCATTAACCTCCTCCTCCATCCCCTGCTTCATCAGATATATTTGAAAAAGCAGTTTTTAAAATTAAGTTTGTTTCTATTTTTCTAGGAAAAGGCAAGAAGTTTAAAAAACAAAGGCTACATTAATCCTGAAGAGTTTAAAATGCATCAACGAATTTGTTTAAGCTGTGCAACAGACATGGTATCTAGTGGACCAGAGACAGTATCTGGGATACAGAGAATGATGAATAAATATGAGGTGTTTTTAATTTCTTCTTCTCTTCCTTGGGATAAATTAGAAGAAAGTGGAACCTACATACAAAAAAAGCTTTTCATACTTAAAAGCCCACTCTTTTGAGTTCAGTTAATCTCTCATTCTGCAAGAACAAGTTTTGTGTCCAATGCACAGATGCCACGGCAGATTGGGTGAGTCTTCCTAGCTAGCAAACTCCTCTGGTCGTCTGCATAGTTATCTACTTAAAGACACGAATAATTGTATTGATGGTGTCTAGCACATCATTTGGGATATAGTAGGTGCTCAACAAATGTGGCATTGCATGGCCTAGAAGGCTCTAGGGGGATGGATACAGAATGTTCTGATACACCTAAGACGTGAAGACATAATTATGCTGTCCCCCTGTGTGGAGGTAACTGGGACAACATTTGTGGACATTCATTCTCAATGGTTCCTTCAGTCATGCAATTTATTTTCTGTCACACAAGGAAGAGAAAAGAGTTTGATTAAAGCTGTTGAATCTTTCCTTAAGTCCTTGCAGCTGCATGAGCAAGAGGCTGACACTAATATCTGTCTTCCCATCGCCATTCCGGTCCTCATAGTTTCTTGTAGATGTGCGGATTTCATGTATTCCTCTGAGAACTGAATGAGTTAACGTGATTGTTTCAGCCATATTTAGCACAGTGTGCAATAAATATTTCATGTATAGCAAAGCCTCCTGGTGCTAGAGACAGTGGGACAAGATTTCATTCAGCTCCGGTTGACACATTTCAGGGTATCCCCTAAACCCATCCCCCATTTTCCATAGCCCCTGACTTTACAAGTGAGCCTCTCTCTACGAACCCATTATTATATAATAATCCTATATAGACTATACGATCGACTTGCTAATTTTCAAGCTGACCAGACCACCCACATTATCGGCGAAAGCAGGAGGTTTTGAGCAAGAAACTAGGGACACCTCTGTGAGCGATTCCATTCCTCCTCCCTCCTAAATAAGACACAATAGAAGCCTGCTTTCTGGGGAGAGTGAGAACAAAGTAACTTTGAGGATTTTGTTATGAATGTAAGATGCTCTCTACCCTGGAAGAGCGAGAAGCGATGATAATCCCCATGTATTTGTTCAGAAGTATTCACCTACAGCACATGGGCCCAGAGCTATGCAAGGTATTGAGCAAATGAGATAGTTTGAAACTTCGCATCTGTTAGCTGAGCTTATTGGTCAGAGGCATCATCCCAGGGAAGCGCAGAACTGCTCTGGTCTTTCTTCATTCACCGCCTTTCCCACATTTCAATGTGATCTTTTCCCTTCAGTTGTAGATTGCTTTCCATAGGGTATATTAGCAATAGGAATTGACTGCTGCTGCAGATACACCAATTCAGATAAACTTGGGCTCATATCTTTTGGCAGCAAAGCCTTATACAATATACATCATCTAAAAGGTGATTTTCTTATTGTCTTGTCCTTCAACAGGCCAATTATTTCTAGGGTGTGTCATTAAGGGTATTTATTACTTTATGTAGAAACTACATTAAGACACTCAATGTTCTTCCACTTAAAATCGCAATGCTAAAATACTTCTTAATACACATGGCACTCTGATAAATTTAGAGCTTTTAGGTTATATACATTATTTAAATTTCTGTAACAGGGTAAGGACTAAAACACACTAAATATACATCTACGAATGAAACTGTCACTGTTGGAGATTTTTTTGGCAATGCAATCAATGAGTTAAATGGAAATAATAAAAAGTACAAAAGTTTATATTCATCAAAATGAAACCAGAATCATTTTCTAAAAGGCCAGATATGGCCTTATCCTAAGACTTTTGAAAAATCTCAGAGAAGAGAAAACATTTCTTTAAAAAACAACCTGGAATTTGAATTTTTTTAACAACAGACGTGGTTCAAAATTGCCATTTCCTTATGAGCAAACATTTTTGAAAGTAAAACTTGTTAATTAATTGATTAATGAAACATACCCTTTTTAAAAAAAAGCAAAAATGCGAGTGAATATGAGTCACTGAAGTATTCAAACGTTGTGAAAGTAATAGATGTTCAGAAAAGAGTATTCCTGTGTTTAAATACATAAATAGCATTTGGTCTATGGCTGTATTTCCCATCTGAGAACTGCAGTAGTCATGGACAGTCACAGAGGGAAAATGGGGCTGTTTTTAATAAATTCCACCTATTACAAAGAAGCAGTGGGTACAAAAGTCACAGGAAATTTCGTTTAAGAAGGTGACTACACAGCGAAAACCTGACGTTATTTCCTACTCTACTGTCAAGTACAGATGCTTAAAAATATGTTAAATCAGTATAAACATAACAGATTTAAATATTCCATATGAGAAACAACCAGCTTCTTAAAATTTTAGTGTGTATGTATAGCAATTCTTTCAATATTTATCTTAATTACATTCACATGATTTAAAAGAAACACATGCATGAATAGTACATATGCATGCACACACAGACACATGCACACACATGAACAGACATGCACACACATGAACACACACATGCACACATACATACACACATGCACACACACATGCACACATGCCACACTCATTGCTGGGAGGTAGAGGAGTAGGGAAATGGGGACTGCTTATGGGCTTAGCGTTTTGTTTTGGGGTGATGAAACATCTGGGAACTAGACAGAGGTGATGGTTGCACAACATGGTCATGGCGAAAGCGCCCCTGAACTGCACACTTTAGAACGGTTAACTAGGTCGAGTTTTGATTTGCTTTGTTGTTGTTGCTGTTTTTTTTTTAATGAAGTCTCGCTCTGTCAGTCAGGCTGGAGTGCAGTGGCGTGATCTTGGCTCACTGCAACCTCTGCCTTCTGGATTCAAGCAATTCTCCTGCCTCAGCCTTCTGAGTAGCTGGGATTACAGGTGTGCACCACCACACCTGGCTAATTTTTTTGTATTTTTAGTAGAGAGGGGGGTTTCACCATGTTGGTCAGGCTGGTCTCGAACTCCTGACCTCGTGATCTGCCCGCCTCAGCCTCCCAAAGTGCTGTGACTATAGGCGTGAGCCACCATGCCCAGCAAACTAGGTCTAGTTTTATGCCATCTGATTTTCTTTTGAGATGGGGTCTTGCTCTGTTGCCCAGGCTGGAAGTGCCGTGTCTTGGCTCACTGTAGCCTTGACCTCCCAGGCTCAAGGGATCCTCCCTTCTCAGCCTCCTAGGTAGGTGGAACTACGGGCATGTACCTACCATCGCAGCTGGCTAATTTTTGTAGAGACTGAGTTTTACTATGCTGCCCAGGCTGGTCTCAAACTCCTGGACTCAAGTGATCTCCCTGCCTCAGCCTCCCAAAGTGCTGGGACTAAAAGCATGAGTCACTATGCCTGGATGAATTTTATCTCAAGAATAAAATAAACACTGAAAGAAAGGATTGTCCAATATCATGTGTTGGAGCTTCATCCAGTACTTGTGAATCCCAAAGCAGATTTTTTTTACTCATTAAAAACTGCTTCCCTTTATATACACTTATGTGAAATTTTACGTGCGTTTTAAAACTAAGAACAATGTATAAAGGCCACTTCTAGTTAGTGAAGTCCTTTTAAATTGGAGACACTTTTCCAAAATTTGAAGCAACAAATGGGTGTGGATTGCCTGTCTGGGTTTTCTAAATCATCCCCCTTGTTGAAGGTAAGGTTATATTTTCCTCCTTCAATGCATTTATTGCCAATATCCTGTAAACTGCAGCAGAGGGGGCTACTGTCTGCCCCTGTCCGGCATCACTTTCCTGATCCTATTACAAAAGAGGAGTGTCAGGGCACTGAGGCAGAGGCAAAGCACAGCCCAACTCTCAGCGTCTCCCAGATGCCAACTGGATCTACTTTAAAAATATTTTTTAGGAAGTCGGCTTCCAATTATTTGAGAAGGATCCATCTTTTTTTCATCAAAAGCAAGAATAAAGCTGAATTTTCATTAAAATGAAGGAAGCACTCAAAGGTCTCCCGGGACGTATAGATCTAATCCTCTAGTGTAAAATACAAAGGGAAGCTCTTGGTTTTGTTTCTAATGTTTTAAAAGACGAGCGTGGCTAAAGTTTTAGGACGTAGACTGAGTGCCACAATGAAGACAGCTCCCGTCTCGGCCCTTATGACTTCAATCTGGCCTGGAGTTACTCCCCTGCATTGAAGAAAGCAGACAAGGCTCGTGATGTTATCGTCAACGGTTGTTCTGAAAGTAAGAAAACAGGCTGGGTGCAATGGCTCACTCCTGTAATCCCAGCACTTTGGTGAGGTCAGGAATTCAAGACCAGCCTGACCCACATGGTGAAACCCCATCCCTACTAAAAAAAAAAAAAAGAAAAAAAATTAGCTGGACATATTGGCACAATCCCAGCTACTTGAGAGGTTGAGGCAGGAGATTCACTTGAACCCTGGAGGCGGAAGTTGCAGTGAGCTGAGATGGCGCCATTGCACTCCAGCCTGGGCAACAGAGCAAAACTCCATCTCAAAAAAAAAAAAAAAAAAAAAAAAAAGCAAGAAGAAGAAAGAAAGTAAGAAGGAAGAAAGAAAGTAAGAAAACAACATTCAAACAACCAAAGAAGTAGCCTAAGTAGTTGACCTCGTGTGTACTGATTGCTGATGGTCAATTTGGGTCATTCTACGAGACATACAATTAAAGGGAATTGATGGATGAGCATTTTCAGAGTAACATTGCCTTGCAGTGGGTGGATTCTTTCCCCACACACAGAAGTGTGCACCTGCTGTTGTTGCTGCTGTGGTGAGGACGCAGGTGCTGATGTCATGCGGACAACTCAGCCGGGGCAGTGGAAAGTTCCCAAAATGAGCACCAGTTCCCCACACGCCATCGTGCCCACTCACGTGATACCACTGCCATGTTTTACAGAGGAAAACGGATGCTTTTTGACTAAAAGACTAAAACTTTTATGAAAAACAACTCATATGTGGTAAATGTAGAAATTAAAGCCATCAATGTTTTATCTTTATATGGAAAGTGAGTATAGCTACATAGAAACACACAGTAAAGTTTTTATAGGATCAATTAATTAAAAAATCTAATTCAGAAAATTATTTATAGACATCTTTATCATTCAATTTTTAATTTTTTTATTTTGGGTTAGAAACATAGAAGCCCTTCCTGATAATGTTCCTTTGTAATTTAATAAATTACCATATTAAAACCAATATCTCTTGAATATCCATAGGTTAAAAAAAGAATAGTGAAACTCTATTTAAATCTCAGACTTTATACAAAAATTAACACAAAATGGATCACAGACTTTAAAATATATCAAATGCAAAGTGATAGACAAAATAGAGGAACACTTCAAGATCTAGGTCTTGGCAGAGTTCTTAGACTTGACATCAATACCATGACCCAGAAAAAGAAAAGACGATGAATTTAAAACTTGTGCTGCTCAAAGGACCCTGTGAAGAGGATGAAAGTCAAACGAGAGACTGGGAAAAATTCTGCGAATCATATACCTGACAAATGACTATTACACAGAATAAAGAACTCTTGAAACTCAGTCTTAAAAAGCAAACAAAAAAATCCAAACAATTCCATTAGGATGTGAGCAAAAGGCATGAACAGACATTTCACTGAAGAGTACAGATGGGAATAATCACCAGATAAGGTACTCACGTCGTTAGCCATCAGGAAATTGCAAGTGAACACCACAGAAAGCTATCACCACACATCTATCAAGAAAGCTAAAATAAGACAGAGTGACCGCACCGAATGCTGGACAGGATGTAGAGAAACTTCATCGCCCACACATGTTGGGTAGGGATGACAAATAGTACCGCCATGCTGGAAAAATGCTTGGCAGTTTCTTATAAGACTAAACTTGCAAATACCGTATGTGCCAGTACCATTTACACTCTTGGGCATTTTTCCCAGAAAAATGAAAACTTATAACCACACAAAATCGTGTTCATAACAGCTCGTAGCAGCATTGTTTGTGACAGCAAAGTCTGGAATCAACCCAGACGTCCTTCAATGGGTAAATGGTGAAAAAAACTGTTACATCTGTACCATGAAATGCTACTCCACAGGAAAAAGGGACTGAATTATTGACACAGGCCACAACTTGGATGAATCTCCGGAAAATTATGTTGAATAAAAAAGGCCCATCTCAGAAGGCTGCACACCACATGATTTCATTCATTTATATAACATTCTTGAAGGGAGAAGGTCAGAGAAGTGGAGACCAGGTTAATGGATACCAGGAATTAAGAATGAGGTTGGGATGCGTGGGTGTGTTTATAAGCGGAGTAAGGCGGATTCTAGTGATAATGGACATTCTCCATCTTGACCACATCAATGTCCATATGCTGGTTGGTCTAATACCCTCTAAGTTTGCAAGATTCTACCACTGGGTGAGAGTGGGTAGGGGACAAAAAGGACCTCTCTGTATTATACCTAGTGCCTGCCTGGGAATCTACAGTTATCTCAAAATGAAACATTTTATTATGAATGTATTTACTCATTCAACAGAGAAAAGGAGGACTTTAATGGGAAAAAAGAGAGAGAATTGATGACATTTTATCCTAACAAAAAAATAACATACTGAACATATGACATATTTTACATATTCCATATAAACACGTAATTTAGTAATTTACCATGTTAAAACATAATGTTAACATATTTGAGCTGAAATATTTTTTAAAATGAGAGACTACACATTAGATCAGCTTCTTATCAGGATAATCACCCACAAGACCTCCAATGTTAGATTTTCACTGAGATAATGCTGTTATTAAGTAAAGAAATGAAGCATATTGCTAATGCACGCACACACGATTGTGAGGAGCTGAGGGCAGGGTGAGGCATGTTTGACTCTGGAAGTATCAGGCCTGTGCAGTAAACTCAGCTCTGCTCCGTATGGAGTCCTGCGGCCTCCACAAAGAGTCACCGCTAGCTCTCTTGAGCTCCAGAGCATATTTTGCTAGGCCCTGCTCCATACTTCCTAAAACACCACTGCACAGTTGTCAGTCATAAGAGTTCAACTGCCAAAAAGATTGAATTATGCTAGAATGAGAACACAGCAGTGTTTTGCATCTCCTCTTATTTCTCGTGATTGTGAAACTAAAGTGAAAGAGATCATTTCAACCCTAATTCTGCACATCAGATATTTCCCATGTAATTATTAAAGGAAAAAACAAACACAAATACAATGAAAGAAGAAGAAAAGTTGTAGTTCAGGTGAAATCAGTAACCATGTTCCTCTCTCTGTTTTTATTTTTGGAGGGAGACCATGTTTGGATACAATGAAAGCTGTGATTGAAGCAAGCTCACCCCTGTGCACCTGGGGCTGACCAATGTCCCTGGGCTTCTTAAGCTGGGGTGGTTCCCTCCTCTGGTCAGGGGCTGGGGCTCGGCGGAGGCAGGGGCACTGGCTTCACCCCCTCACTCTGGTTTCCTTTGCATTCTGCACTGTGGTTAGTTGAGTGAACTGGGTTTCATCAGTGTGTTGGTCAAAACCCAAGCATTCTGATCCTGACAGTGACTAGTATTTTAGGGGGAAACAGAGGTAGGAGTCTTTACTTAGCCTTTGAGCTTACGCCAAGACCTCCAATTTAGACCTGAGCCAGAACTCTGCAGCTGAGTAGCCAACTTCTATACAACTTCTAATCATTTTTTAAATGACTTGGGTTCCCACTCTGCTATCAGCTTATTTGAAGATAGCTCCCGTGGGAGCCCTAGGATAAGAGAGGTTCTTGTCAGAGAAAGAGACATTGATAAGTTCCTGGCTTCAATTTCATCTTAATACCATAAAAAATACTTGCCCTTCACACTAAAGTACAATACACCACCAATAAGAGTGATGTTGTAATGGAAAGTAATTGAAATGAAATCTTAAACATCATGAGCTCAAACATCTAGAAATGCAAAAAAGAACACAATTTTCTTGGAAACTCAGATTTAGCAGAGGTCTCTGTGACTACGTTTAAAGAAATGAATCAAAAAATAAATAATTGAAAATTTAAAACAGTAAGAACTTCGTAAAGACAGTCATAAAATTAGAAGCATAATGGCCCCCAAATGCTAACTATACAGGGTAGAAATAAATGTGTAAATACATGAATAAAAAGAGAAATAGAAGATGAGTTATCTTTAAGGGAGATAATTCTAGATTTTCGTAATTGAACATCTGGCCACGAGACAGGAAAAAGCCATGGAGAGCTTTGTGCTTACTCTCAGAAATGCTTTCACACCTGAATGGTGAGAGTTTGCAGAACTCTTTATGCATTACCCTTGATTCATGGAGACAGGCTCTTGATGGTGTTACTGGGCAGCCTAGAACACTCTCAGAGCAAAGGGCTCATTCCTGGATGCTGTTCCTACCTCGACACGTGGGCAGAGGGCTACTCCACTGGCCGTTGCTCCGACACTGGGCTCGAGACACGCCCTGCAGCAAATAGCCCGTGTTGCAGGTGAAATTCACGACATCATTCAGGTTGAACTCACTGCCATTAGTGAATCCGTGGGCAGGGTTTCCAGGGTGACCACATGTGATGGCTGTAGAGAGACAGGTCAACGTCATTGTTAAATATTGAACAGGTCATCACTTTCCCTTGGGATTATTAATAAGAAACATGCAGGCATGCTAACGGTATGGACTGAAGGTTTTCCACTAACCAGGCAGCTTACAGATGGTATTTATATTCAGAAGGGAATATTGGGAGCTACAACCACAGGCTGACACTACAGGCTTTTAATATAATTGTGGAAAATAACAAACACCTGCCAAACACGCTTTCTTTACCATCATAATTATTATTTCTCTCTTGAATCATGACAGAATACCAAATGATTTAAAAACGAAGCAGTGAAAAACAAGAGATGCTAAAAATTCTTGTATTAATCATGAGTTTTGAACATTTTCTCCATACACACCAGCTGACTCTGTGAAACCCTCCTTTTGAGACAGTATGGGATTTGTCTGATACTTTTTAATGTCCATGTATAAATTATTGCAATATCAATTTACACATCATGAAATTAGCAAAATAACTAAGCACACTCAGCTCCTATTTTTGTTGAGAATCTCTGTCATATGATCCTTTGAAATGCAGTGAACTGTCAATATGTCATGCCCCAGATAACAGCAAGACAGATCAGGGAGAGATATCCATCATTCACCCTTTCAACAGAAACACACTACAGTCATAAAACTGGTGTTTTCTTCCTCATTTATCTTGTCAACAATTTTTTTCCTATAAGTAAAGCTTTTACCCGTGAACTTTGTACATTTTTCACATCACTATTACAGATAATCTTTGTCACTGTTTTATCCACATTTCTTTTGTCTACTTCATAGGAAAATATACAATATTTCTAAAAACAATTGGTTTAAGGGAAATTGGGCAATAAAGTGAGAGTACATTGTTCGAAAAATAGTCAATATTTACAATATTTATCGCTGAAGTTATACAGCTCAAGGTTGATCATTCATTACATGTAATTTTACCTCTTTCTTTTTTTTCCCTTTTTTTTTTTTTTTTTTGAGATAGAGTCTTGGTCTGTCACCCAGGCTGGGGTGCAGCGGCACGATCTCTGCTCACTGCAACCTCCATCTCCAGGGTTCAAGCAATTCTCCTGCTTCAGCCCCTCCTAGTAGCTGGGATTACAGATGTATGCCACCATGCCAGGCTAATTATTGTATTTTTAGTAGAAATGGGGTTTTGCCATCGGCCAGGCTCGTCTTGAACTCCTGACCTCAGGTGATCCACCTGCCTCAGCCTCCCAAAGTGCTGGGATTACAGGCGTGAGCCACCACGCCTGGCCAATTTTACCTCTTTCAAGTAAAAGAAAGAATGCTTACAAAACTCCCTATATTCTTGACGAAGCAATGACAAAAATGTATGCAACACGGATGAGGCAGGGAGTGCCGCTGTTTCTAGGACTGCAAAGCTGCCCAGCAGACCCAGACTCTGCACCTCCACCCTCCTACTATCAGCTTTTCTCTCCACCCAGTTTATCCTGTGATAAAATCAAGGAGGAGGAATCCATGACACCACTTGGCCAGGGATCCATTTACAATGAATTGATAAGCAAATTAAATGTGGAGTCAGGAAAAGGAGTTTGAAGGAAACAAAACGGGAAGGAGATCAAAAAAGGAAAGCGTGAACATGGCACCTCTCCTGTTCTCTTTCTTTGTATAGGCAAAACTGAAAGTTTGCTGTTCCCTTTTACAGTGAAGATTAAACAGGTGTATATTGTGACCTAATAACAAAAGACAATGTGGCAAAAGGAAGCATCGATGAATTCGTCCACAAAGAGTGCACTTACGGACACAGACAGGCGTTTGTCCAGACCACTTGTGGTCTTGCAGGCATATCCTCACGGAAGTTCCCACAAGCCGGAAACCAGGATTGCACTGGTAAACCACCGTGTCTCTGTAACTGAAGCCATCTCCACTAATGTGACCGTTCACAATCGGGTCTGGGGAACCGCAGTGGCCAGCTAAAAATGTTAAACCAATTTTAAAATTTAGAGTGTCTGTCATTTATAAAAGTAGTACATTCACAACTTTTATTATCAAGTCAATAACAGTATTGAAGGCGCAACATATTGAAATCTTTATCATTACATATATATGTATACTTTTAAATATAGTTTTTCTTTTTTTTATTATTTTTTTTCAGAAATCCTGGAAAAAATAAGTAATATTTCTAATATGAAATGGTTTGTATTTTCCTAGTTGTGATTTTCCCATCTATCCATTTCACTTATTTTGCTTACCTGTATTCAGTTATTTACCTTGTTATACTATTTTCAAAACAAAGCAAAAAGTAAAGAAGGAATTCTTGGAATTAACATGAACAGGGCTTCTTAACCTATTGATTATGGGTAGTAAGGAGATCGGTGAGGGGGGCTTCCAGTCAGATAGACTAGATAATCAAATTACCTGTGAAATTCCAAATGGAAAGACAGGGATCAGAGAATAAGTTCAATTTCAATTATGAAAATCTGAGTTATGGGTGAGCTGATGTCTGAGTAAAAATGGCCTGGAATCAGTTGAAAAGAGAAGTCTAGAGTTCCAGGGACAGATGTGCTGAAGTTAGCGTGGACTTGGGACAACAGGAGCATGCACAGCTGACAGCTGAAACTAAAGGTGGCAGGGCTTACTCAGGTGCACAGTGAAAGAACAGGAAGGAGCGCGAGATCGCGACAGGCGTCTTTACTTAAGGGGAGACAGAATGTCCATGTAGATAGTAAAACAATTGACAAACATGGCATTGAAAGAGCTTTAGTAACAGAGCTTCCACATGGAGACAGACCCTCTGACATTATTCCACTCACTCCCACCATTTTTTTTCTTTTTTTTTTTGGCAGGGTCTTGCTCTGTCACTCAAGCTGGAATGCAGTGGCACCATCACGGCTCACCGTAGCCTCAATCCCTTGGGCTCAAGTCATCTTTTGGCCTCAGCCTCCTGAGGAGATGGGACTACGCCACCATGGTACATGCTGCCATGCCTGAGTAATTTTTTTATTATTATTATTTTTAGTAGAGATGGGGTCTCATTATGTTGTTCAGGCTGGTCTTCAACTCCTGAGCTTAAGCAATCCTCCTGCCTTGGCCTCCCAAAGTGCTGGGATGACAGGTGTGAGCCACCACAACATTTTGTTACCTTCTCTTCCATCTCCCTCTTCTGCCTCTTTACTGCTCTCACTTTTCCTTCTTTCCTTTCCTCCAACTTCTCCTTTTCTCTCTCTCCCTTCCTCGCATATATGGAAAGGGTATTCTTATTAAATTAACAAAATATACAGGCTGAAGAGTAACTTACATGAATTGGACCTGTGTTACACATGGGTTTTGGAGTCACAAGAAGAGGAAAAACATTCACCATGAGTTCCTAAATAATCATCTTTGTCACTCTCCTATAGTTGCATCAACATTTCTTTTTGCTTAATTCACAGGAAAATAAAGAATATATTAGAAAAACAATTGCTTTAAGAGGAATTTTGCAATAAAGTGAGAGTACCCGTATTCTAAAAATAATAATCAATATTTATCTTTGAAGTTATAGAAAGAAACTTTTCGTAGGAAAACAGCTACAGAAGCCTTCAGTCCATGCAAAATATCAAGGCGGAGACTTTCCCTGCCCACTTATTTCCCCAACAGGGAACACAACCAATGATTCTCCATACAAGTTCCTGCACACCCAGATTTGAGAAATTACAAAATTGTTGTCATACTCCTTTGGGATTAAGTATATCCTTCTAGGGAGATTTAAAATCATAATCTATATTTCTGCTTAAAACAAAGTTTAGAAACATTGTGTTCTCCTATTTTGGAGAACAAACTTATTATCAGGAAGGTAACATTGCAGAGGAGAGAGACAGAAGAGAATCTGATCTCTGCCTCAACTCGTAGAAGAGATTAGACCACAAAAAGCCAGGCTAGATTTGGCTAATTTTTGTGCATTGGCAGGTATTCCAGTCAATCGGATCAATAAGTCAGTTCTGGTGATTTGTCCCAATCACTCCCACATATGAGACTTGATACAAGCGGAGAACGTCGATGAGGGTGAATGTTCTCCATATTGTGAAGAGAGACCCCCTGAAGGCACAAGTGTTATCACAGGCACAGAGGACATTGTCTCTGAAGGTTCCCCTTTCCAGACGCTGTCCTTTGCACAACGTGCTCTGTCGTGCATGGGGGAGATGGAGCCATCGTTCCAACCCTAGAGACAGGGAGACGAGGACTGGTGAGAGCCAGAAGAGCCCATCAGCCCAGCACAAGAGATCCCAGCCATTTCTGAGGCGAGGCATAGAATAGCTAGTTTCTAGAAACACACAAGAAAATGACACCAGCAATTCCTTTTGGAATTACTTCTGAAGCCTGGAACCACTCCAAGAGGAGGGGATGTGGGACCAAAGGCAATAGTGATGTGAAAAGGGGTGCATTTTAACAGAGCTCCTCTCATTTTAGGGAATCTGTTCAGGTCTCATTCTTGACTTAGACAAACAGGACTCCTTTTAAACCTTAATATTTTTCTGAACTGAGTTTTTTGTAAGTGCACATAGTTTGAAGTTGCACTCTTCTTTGGGAACCTGGCAAACAAGGACTTGTAATGGTCAAGGAAGCATCTGTGTACTCTAGAAATCAGGCAGCAAGCCTGACAGCCATGACTGTAAATAAAGATTCCCAACAGCAACTCCTCTCTGACACATGGTCATTTCGGTTCTCTGAGGAATTGGCACCAAATGCCTAAAGAAAACAGAGGATGTCCTTCAAAAACATTTCATTTTACCTCCTTGCCTGAAGAAAAAAAAGTTATGTATCAGCAGGATTGCCTAGTATCTAAGCTTCCTAATACAGAACAATTATTTCTTCATTGTGGCTTCCTATTTTGAAACAATGAGATAGCAATCTGTTTTTCACCTGTTATCACTTTCCAGCCATCCGTTAATTCTGTTTTAAAACATTCAAAATCTTTGACCAATTATAGTCTATTACAAATAGAGGATAACCACACAATTTCACTCACAGAATACTCTTTAACCCAAATCTTAATGATATTGTGTCAATATGTTGAGGAAGGGAAAATTGCATTAGGAGGAATTTGAACTCAATGAATTTTGAGCTCTATTTTAAATTTAAGATTCTATTAGTCTATGATAGTATTATTCTATATGCTTTGTATGTGAGTTACCTTTTCTTTTAATATCTCTGATGTAGTCTTGGTTTTGAGTCATCTACACAAAACCTAGAAAGCCTCTCTGTCTTCCCTCAGGATGAAATGTAATCAAGTTCATGCTTCTCTGCTGTGTCTCTACCATATCAGTCACACACTGAGTACTTGTTGAAATGAACAGAAACAGAATAACCTCACCACTGGGCAGTCATGTCCTTTACATTGTCTCCTATGTCACCTTCATGTATTTGACAATAATTCATTTATTTGACAATAATTTCATGATGATTTGTTGTGGGTTGCAATGTTCTTGGGGCTGGGGATTAAACAAGGAATAAGACACAATCGCAGAGGGTAAACGCAGAGGAGCAGCTGTCACGTGCAGAGTCCTGAGGGTGTGCGGACCTAGCAGGCTGGGAACGAGTGGAAGGAACACTCAGCCATGCTGAGGACCAGGACTCCTGGTGAAAGAGGTGGCATTTAAAGTCTGAAGGATGAGCGCTTGTTAGCCAGGAAAAGGTGATGGCAAGACATTCTAGCCACAGAAATTAGAAATGTTATATATTTTTAAAGCATCTGTTAAAATATGAAGACTATGATGTCAAATGACCCAGTTATACATTTGCTAGGAGGGTGACCATTTGCATCCTGTCCAGCTTAGTACATAGTAGGTGTCAGCCCCACTGCGTGACTCTGCCACTATTTGAAGATAGTTGCTACAACTCCACTGAGTATGCACAGTAGCAAAGGAGGATAAGCAACTCTATTCACTGAATTTTTTTTTTAAAGAAATGAACGTGGGGTGAGGGCAGCCCTGCACACTTCAAAACCAAATATCATCTAGTGATAATAAAATACTGAAATTCCTCAGTGGACCTTACACTATGATGCCAGAGCCCAGAGGCTGTGATTTGTCTTGATTTTGCAGACTTTGTTTATTTATTATTCATTGACGTTTAGCTTCAGTTTAAACAAAAACTGCCCAATGTCTCCAACAGGCAATTGTGTAGCAACAACAGTCACAGCTCGGACATCATGAAGCCTGGATTTCTTGAGAAGTGTGTGTCAGAAATTGTCCTATTAAAGTGTGGAAGGAAAACCTTGGCAAGAAAGCAAGTGACCCACTTTACTCTTAAATCAATCTTCTGCGTGAATTTATTAGTCTACTAGTAATCTGAACCCAGCAGGACTGAGAAGCAAATGGTTGAAGAATTAGGAAAGAATGCTATGCAACTGTAAATTCATATGATTTTTAATCCAATGTATATAGATAGACAATGTAAATATATCCTCATGGAATTGCAGAATTTGCTTTTAGCTCAAGCACGAATTAACAATTCAATTACTACCACACTTCATGAATTTTACATTTTAATTCTTCATTTTCTCCATGCTGAGAACAGGTATGACTGTGGACAGGGTAATTCACCAACCACTTAAAATGGTTGAGAGAACCAGTAACGGAACCAAGAATGAAATGGTCTGCTCCAGTGACTCCGTTTTACACACTGTTCTACAAAATATGTCATTGGAATAAGAATACCGTGGCCAGGCGCAGTGGCTCATGCCTGTACTCCCAGCACTTTGGGATGCTGAGGTAGGTGGATCACCTGAGGTCAGGAGTTCGAGACCAGCCTGGCCAACATGGTGAAAGCCCATCTCTACTAAAAATACAAAAATTAGCTGAGCAAGGTGGCACATGCCTGTAGTCCCAGCTGCTCGGGAGGCTGAGGCAGAGGAATTGCTTGAACCCGGGAGGCAGAGGTTGCAGTGAGCCGAGATTGCACCACTGCACTCCAGCCTGGACGACAGAGCAAGACTCTGTCTCAAAAGATAATAAAAACAATAACAATAATACGGTGAAACTTCAGAACCATTGAGGTGTTATACGTATGGACTGTGCAGTACCCTGGGTGGGACCCAGGAATTTGAACGTCTTTCCTGAGTTACAAAGAGTTTCCGTACCATAAGCTTTGAAAATCACTAGCTTTTCAGTCTACTCTATTCTGTGTCTGATGAAAGCTTTGTTACTCCAAGGAGGAACTGGTACCATTCCTTCTGAAACTATTCCAATTAATAGAAAAAGACGGAATCCTCCCTAACTCATTTTATGAGGCCAGCATCATCCTGATACCAAAGCTGGGCAGAAACACAACCAAAAAAGAGAATTTTAGACCAATATCCTTGATGAACATTGATGCAAAAATCCTCAATAAAATACTGGCAAAATGAATCCAGCAACACATCAAAAAGCTTATCCACCATGATCAAGTGGGCTTCATCCCTGGGATGCAAGGCTGGTTCAATTACACAAATCAATAAATGTAATCCAGCATATAAACAGAGCCAAAGACAAAAACCACATGATTATCTCGATAGATGCAGAAAAGGCCTTTGACAAAATTCAACAACGCTTCATGCTAAAAACTCTCAATAAATTAGGTATTGATGGGATGTATCTCAAAATAATAAGAGCTATCTATGACAAACCCACAGCCAATATCATACTGAATGGGCAAAAACTGGAAGCATTCCCTTTGAAAACGGGCACAAGACAGGGATGCCCTCTCTCACCACTCCTATTCAACATAGTGTCGGAAGTTCTGGCCAGGGCAATTAGGCAGGAGAAGGAAATAAAGGGTATTCAATTAGGAAAAGAGGAAGTCAAATTGCCCCTGTTGGCAGACGACATGATTGTATACCTAGAAAACCCCATTGTCTCAGCCCAAAATCTCCTTAAGCTGATAAGCAACTTCAGCAAAGTCTCAGGATACAAAATCAATGTGCAAAAATCACAAGCATTCTTATACACCAACAACAGACAAACAGAGAGCCAAATCATGAGTGAACTCCCATTCACAATTGCTTCAAAGAGAATAAAATACCTAGGAATCCAATTTACAAGGGATGTGAAGGACCTCTTCAAGGAGAACTACAAACCACTGCTCAAGGAAATAAAAGAGGATACAAACAAACGGAAGAACATTCCATGCTCATGGGTAGGAAGAATCAATATCGTGAAAATGGCCATACTGCCCAAGGTAATTTACAGATTCAATGCCATCCCCATCAAGCTACCAATGACTTTCTTCACAGAATTGGAAAAAACTACTTTAAAGTTCATATGGAACCAAAAAAGAGCCCGAATCACCAAGTCAATCCTAAGCCAAAAGAACAAAGCTGGAGGTATCACACTACCTGACTTCAAACTATACTACAAGGCTACAGTAACCAAAACAGCATGGTACTGGTACCAAAGCAGAGATATAGATCAATGGAACAGAACAGAGCCCTCAGAAATAATGCCGCATATCTACAACTATCTGATCTTTGACAAACCTGAGAAAAACAAGCAATGGGGAAAGGATTCCCTATTTAATAAATGGTGCTGGGAAAACTGGCTAGCCATATGTAGAAAGCTGAAACTGGATCCCTTCCTTACAGCTTACACAAAAATCAATTCAAGATGGATTAAAGACTTAAACGTTAGACCTAAAACCATAAAAACCCTAGAAGAAAACCTAGGCATTACCATTCAGGACATAGGCATGGGCAAAGACTTCATGTCTAAAACACCAAAAGCAATGGCAACAAAAGACAAAATTGACAAATGGGATCTAATTAAACTAAAGAGCTTCTGCACAGCAAAAGAAACTACCATCAGAGTGAACGGGCAACCTACAGAATGGGAGAAAATTTTTGCAACCTACTCATCTGACAAAGGGCTAATATCCAGAATCTACAATGAACTCAAACAAATTTACAAGAAAAAAACAAACAACCCCATCAAAAAGTGGGCAAAGGACATGAACAGACACTTCTCAAAAGAAGACATTTATGCAGCCAAAAGACACATGAAAAAATGCTCATCATCACTGGCCATCAGAGAAATGCAAATCAAAACCACAATGAGATACCATCTCACACCAGTTAGAATGGCGATCATTAAAAAGTCAGGAAACAACAGGTGCTGGAGAGGATGTGGAGAAATAGGAACACTACACTGTTGGTGGGACTGTAAACTAGTTCAACCATTGTGGAAGTCAGTGTGGCGATTCCTCAGGGATCTAGAAGTAGAAATACCATTTGACCCAGCCATCCCATTACTGGGTATATACCCAAAGGACTATAAATCATGCTGCTATAAAGACACATGCACACGTATGTTTATTGCGGCATTATTCACAATAGCAAAGACTTGGAAGCAACCCAAATGTCCAACGATGATAGACTGGATTAAGAAAATGTGGCACATATACACCATGGAATACTATGCAGCCATAAAAAATGATGAGTTCGTGTCCTTCGTAGGGACATGGATGAAATTGGAAATCATCATTCTCAGTAAACTATCGCAAGAACAAAAAACCAAACACCGCATATTCTCACTCATAGGTGGGAACTGAACAGTGAGATCACATGGACACAGGAAGGGGAACATCACACTCTGGGGACCGCTGTGGGGTGGGGGGAGGGGGGAGGGATAGCATCGGGAGATATACCTAATGCTAGATGACGAGTTAGTGGGTGCAGTGCACCAGCATGGCACATGTATACATATGTAACCAACCTGCACAATGTGCACATGTACCCTAAAACTTAAAGTATAATAATAAAAGAAAAAAAACTTAAAAAAAGAAAGCTTTGTTACTGTTTGTAATTATAAACTGCTATTATATTTTGCTTAAAATGTCTCAAATAGAAAAAGGGGAGTTATTTTAACAATCTTTCTCTAAAATTGGATTTGAAATAAATAAAAGCTACCAAACATTTGAACAAAGCACAGAGACTGGTAGCAAGATGGATGGAGTATTGAGTCCATTTTCATAGCAAAGAAATAGAGTATGTCGCAAGCAAAATGTCAGGAAGAAGGCTCGAGAGGGAGGAAAGGCCTAATTTCTTGATTGGTCAAGGTTTCCCTGCAAACTACATTTGTGCCAGAGCAGTCAGGAGGGCAGAAAGTGGCTGAATTCCCTTTGTGAGGTCAGTTGAGTCTGAGGTTCATTAGGGACACACACAGGGAAAACCACTCACTCCATTATCACCCGCACAGTGTGGCCCACCCTTAGACCAGGGGAGGCTGCACACCTGCAGTTTATAGAATTCAACACGGGAGAGCAGGGGCCTCCGCAAGGCCAGCCTCTCAAAGCCTTTGTTTCTAGAGTTCCATGTAAATTCCACTGCACAGGTCTTTTAGTGTAAGTTATAAAACACCTTGCTGAGAGAACAAAAGGTTGTTTTGTTTGTTCGTTTCCAGTAGAGTGAACACTCAGAAACTGGCTCCTGAACGAATCCGGTTCCTTCAGAACTCCAGCATGCCCCCCTGGGTGACCTATGTTTTCTGGAAAGCGGTTCTACAAAGCTGTGTTTTAGAGGAGGAATCTTACTGGCAGACAGGATTTGGCTTTGTTTAGCTATCCGTACTGTTTCTGCAACACTTGCTTTTGCTACTGAAAGGAGTTATGCGGTTTGCAACCTAAAACCACCACACTGATTGTCAGTGGTGACTTTCTGAGTGACTGACGCAAGGTGGACCCTCAAAGAGACCTGAGGTACTTGTTGGCCGATTTACCTTCACATCATAACGCACGCAGAGTGAACACCTCACATGCAAGTACAGCAAGGTGAGAGTCTCCGACAAGTACCTAGACCTGTGTGATTTTGGAAATGGGTTCCCTGATTTGGAAATGTAATAAAGTTCCACTGTTTCACTTCTCCCGCAGAAACCCCATATACCAGTGGGAATGTTGCCACAATGTCTCCCATGACAGCGGACAGACCTGGAGCCGTGCATTCTTTGGGGAGGAATCGGCTCCTTCCATTGGAGCTGTAGGATCTCTCCCCTCTCACCAGGTCTCCCACACACGCACTTTTGCCCCTAGAGGGGCCTACTTGAAGCTCACGTCTTCAGTGTGCAGGTTTGTAGCAGGACAAATACTAAATATTGGTCCGGGGATTAGAACGGAATCCATTTTTAGAAAATCTATAAACCAAATATTCAACCTCAGTATTTGCTTTGTGATTACTGGTACTTATTGCTGAAAATAAAATACATTACAAATATCCTGGGCCTGTAGGGGAATACAATATGCTTTATTCTATCCATTCTATGCAATAACATGGTCTTTGGCTAAGTCAGAGTTATTTGGGCAGTAGATTCCAAAGCCAATTTGCAAACTTTTCTTCAGTATTAACAAATGGTCATAAAATGTCAGGTGCATCAGATTCACTTATAGGCAGGAAAAACTATTATTAGCAGTACACTTCAACGGACATATTGAAGTCTCTTGATCTCCATATGCTAAAGAAACACATTTGAATATTGATAACTGAGGTGTGTTTTTTTTGCCTCCAAGTGCAATCTCTAGGGGCAATGCTGACCGACTTAGCCCATGCATAGATATGCATATGGTATCACAGAGAGTGTGTGGAATTTGTCCAACATGGAGGTATTGGGCTTGCAGAGCATACAACACTCTGTGCTGTTTGTGACAGCATCAAACACGGGCCCGAGTCCTCTGCCACAAATCCATTTGATCAGATCTCTGCTTCACACATCTTAGTGAATGACAGCTTTTTTAAACCAGTTTGGTTTGAAGAAAACCTCAAACCAGGGCCATCATTTGGACTGTCTTTGGGGCTTTCAGCATTCTTTTTATCTATTCCTGTCTCAATGTAGTTCCTGAATATACCCCATTTCCACCTTCTTCCCTGGGCCTATCCTGCCTCATTGTCCTCAAGCTTTGTCTGCAGTCTTGCCTGCCGGTGTCACGTCTTTCTGTCCCTCAAACTTCAGTCCAAATCCACCGCAGGTGCGCATCTTCCACAAACCCCAAAGGAAGAGCTGCCCATTCATACAGGAGGCAAAGATCTCCCTGACTTCAGGTTTCTCCTACAATAGGAGAGCCTATCTTCGGTGTTGCCTGTTTAAAACACCCAGACTCCTACTCTTCTACTGTGTTTTGTTTTAGATGTAGCAGGTGGCATTCTAATTTTTCGTACCTATGCACTTCCCCTATTGGACTGTGAGTTCTGAGTGCAGCACCATGCCTTGTGCATGTGCATCAGGACTCAGCTCAAAACCTGCCCTAGAGCGGGTGTCAGAGTTATCAGATCTTTTCCACCATCTCGTGGCCCTATCAGTCCAGGCTCTTATGACCAGGCGGCCGTCGAGAGTTCGACCCCAGCACCTGCTTGTTTCAGGCAAGTCCGACTTCCTTGGGCCGCACTCCGCATCTATGCTGTTGCCACCAGGGTTGCAGCTCTTGATTTCTGGAATGGCTTTACCCCATGCCTGCTTGCTGGAATTCCACCCAGAATCAGCACGGCTTCCCCCACATCTACTCTTCTGTCAGCCTCTAGGTTGCTCCCACTCTCACCTGGATTTCTCAAGTAATGTGCCTATATTTCCCTTTTGCCATTATTCTATTCCCAACTTTTTTTTTTTTTTTGAGATGAAATTTTGCTCTGTCACTCAGGCTGGAGTGTAATGGCATGATCTCGGCTCACTGCAACCTCCACCTCCCGGGTTCACGCGATTCTCCTGCCTCAGCTTCCCAAGTAGCTGGGATTACTGGTGCCCACCATTATGTCCAGTAGTAGAGATGAGGTTTCACTATGTTGGCCAGGCTGGTCTGGAACTCCTGACCTCGTGATCTGCCCACCTCGGCCTCCCAAAGTGCTGGGATTACAGGCGTGAGCCACCGCGCCCTGCCTATTCTCAACTTTTTATTAAAGCTACTTGGTATTTACCTTATTTACTCCTTAGAGTATAGATTTCATAAAAGAAGAACCAATCTTATTAACCTCTGAATGCTGCACCATAGTTCTTGAGGAACAAGAAAAATATCATTAAATACTATTCAGAAATATGACAGAAAAACCCACCGCTGAGAAGTTTGCTAGTTATTCCCCAGCCACTGACAATGCATTTGGAAAATCTGAGAACTGGTATAGGGAGTTTTCCTGACTAACATACAGAACATATTTTACACTTAAGACGGTATGGCAAAGATGGGGGTGGGGCAGGGGAGGCAGTGCTAATCTTTCTGCTCTGCTGTGATATAAGCATTATCATAATCAGTTGTTTTATTAAATATTTTATGTGGATCTTTCCAAAATACAAGGCAATTGAAGAATATATTTAAACTTGACTATCTAAGAACTATGAATAACTACAGTCTAAAAACAGTATTTTGAATCATGTCATCTAGCTATTTTAGCCACATAAATAACCATTATATTGCATTTACAGAACAATTCATCTCCTCATGGTTATAATAGCGCAATAAATGCAAACTTATTTCTAACAATAGCAAAACAATCTAATAAAAAATGATAATGTCCTCTATGTGGGAAATAACTCAAGCTACCACTAATATCTTGAATACTAGAGATTGAAGAGGTAACATAGTGGAGAGAGGATGGGTTCTTATGTGCTGAAAAGTCTAAATGATGTAAATGTTTTCAAAATATGAATGTGGGATTCTGTGACAGGAAACCTAGACCACAAACTATAACCTCTTCCTAGTTTGTGTGTTCTCTGTTGGTTTAAGCAAACTACCGCAGAGAAGATAAACAGGAGAAAATAATTAAGGGATCATGTAGATCACAAACTTCCTGGGTGGATTAGCAAGTGCCTGAGAGAGTGGATACCAGGTCAGCATTCTCAGTGCTTAATTCTGTGGCCTGGGGAGAGGTGTAGCATTACACAGTACAGTTGGTAAATTAGAGCAGGTCCTTGGCAATTTACAGAACTCTGAACTCTGGGAGATCCCAGTAATAACGCAGGAGTGATCGTGTTGATGAAGGTGGGCTAAATTTTATACTAATGTACTCGGATGCACCTGTGCATTACTTTGCTCAAAATCTATTTACAATGATATTTACATGCACACTCCAATTTCTCACAAGGTTCTTCTTAGAATCCAGACCAGGGACCTAAAACACAGCATGGATTGAGTTCTTGAATATTAGGTGTAGAAAATCATCTTTTCTTTCCTTAAATACAGCTGTCCTATAGTTGACATTCTCAAGACTCAGTCTGTCAACGCTCATCCATTCCTGTGTTTGGCCACTCCAGCTGCAATACTCAAAAAGGATTCCAGCATATTCTCCCATGTTGGAAGTCACTGGAAACAACTAGCATGCCAGCAGTATGAGTCATGTTGCGATGAAACTGAAGCACAATCTCAGGAAACAGTATTCTTTCTAGTAGCCCCAAAAATAAACTACAAAATATCTCAGCCACAATTCAGGGAAAAAAAATGCTTTTGTCAAAAAATCTTGCACCAGGATGGAAAACATATTGGACCTAAGGTATACAGCCCAAGGGAAGTTAATCTAAAGAACCAAAGTGGACCCTGCTTTTGCATAAAGTCTTAGTTGTCTTGTTTGGAAGATCCACCTGTTTAAAAATACACAAATGAAAGGGGATGTGGGGATTTTTTATACTGATTCCAAAAGCTCTCTTTCTCTGTACACAGTGCCTGCTTCATATGATTGGCTGTGTCCCCACCCAAATCTCACCTTAAATTGTAATAATCCCCACCTGTCAAGGATGGAGACAGGAAGAGATAATTGAATCATGGGGGCGGGAGTTTCTGTTCTCATGGTAGTAAATAAGTCTCACAAGATCCAATGGTCTCATAAAGGGGAGTTCCCCTGCACACGCTCTCTTGCCTGTCACCATGTAAGATGTGCCTTTGCTTCTCCTTTACCTTCCACCATGATTGTGAAGCCTCCCCAGCCAGGTGGAACTGTGAGTGCATTAAACTCCTTTCCTTTATAAATTACCCAGGCTCAGGTATGTCTTTCTTAGCAGCGTGAGAACAGAAAAATACACTGCTATTACAAACCCATGAATGGAAGTATGCACATATGATGTCTGCATCAACCCTGGGCCTTGTCTTGGCAGATATATGCAATTAATTTTATGTTTGTTTCTTTTTTCCCACCCACATGTTCCTGATTAAGATGTACAGATGTCAGCATGGTCTTCATGCTGACTCTACCCGTCAGGGCTGGCACTGATATGGAAAACAACTTCCCACAACTAGTTTCTTCCATCTTTCACCTGATAGCATTTTAAATATTTGAAAATAGTTATGAATGACTACTTTACTTTTCTCTCTGTCAGAGTAATATCAAAAATTTTCCAGCCTGGTGTGGTGCCTCACGCCTGTAATCCCAGCACTTTGGGAGGCCAAGGCGGGCAGATCACCCAAGGTCAGGAGTTCCAGACCAGCCTGGCCAACATGGTAAAACCCCGTCTCCACTAAAAATGCAAAAAATTAGCCAGGTGTGGTGGTGGGTGCCTGTAATCCCAGCTACTCAGGAGGGTGAGGCAGGACAATTGCTTGAACCCAGGAGGTGGAGGTTGCAGTGAGCTGAGATCACACCACTGCACTCAGCCTGGGCAACTGAGACTCCATCTCAGAAAAAAAAAAAAAAAATTCCAAACAGTCCTCAAAGATCATAGGTACCAGATCCATCACCACAAATGCATAGCAATTCCTCAAGAGCCCACTTAAACTATTAAAAAACTGAAGTCATGATTCTGGATATGGGATTCCTGGGCGAACAGAGGATGGGAAGAACCTTATTAATAAGACTCAGCCTGAGCATTGCATGGCAGCACTTGTCACATATGAGCCTGCTCTTACCCAAAACTCCCAAGTTCTCTGCCTCTACACTATGAACTCAGAATTTCTTCTCCTCATATACATTGCAATTATTTTATTTCTACTCTGAGAAAAATTTTACATTAATTTCTATTATATTATTTTGTTTGTCCTATCGTGAGAATTTGAGATCCTGAATCCATCATCCAATATTATTTTCACTCTTTCAACTATGCCCTGATCGAAGATAGGAATAAAATTTTTGATTCAGAAACATTTCTGAATAGTACTTATGAATATCCATCTCATAACAATATTAAACAAAAAAAAATGGATGCAAACTCACATGGTGTCTTGGAAACTATATTAGTTCTATGTGAAAATACATTTCCAAAGTTACTTATGAAGAATATGCTTGGGTATCTGCTCTATATATCATCAAGTCAATTTATGGTTTTTGATAGCTAGCTTCTTTTCCTGCTTTTCCTGTTGTGAGAACAATCACACTGGATATGAGTTTCACTCTAGGATTCTTCCTTTCCATAATATCTCACCAAGAACACTGCCAGTAACTCAGCAGTGTGATTTTTAGTCCCCTCAGCTGATTCGGATGAAATTCTCCTGGGCAGGAGACACAACTTCATTGAGAACTCTGAAGTTCTCTTTTATAAGCTCCTTATCTTTGGGGCGTGCCAGTTTCTGATTTTAAAAACGTCCCGCCTATAATCCCAGCACTTTGGGAACCTAAGGCAGGAGGATTGCTTGAGCCCAGGAGTTCGTGACCAGCCTGGGCAATTTAGGAAGACCCTGTACCTACAAAACAAATTGTAAATAGTTAGCTGGGCATGCTGCTGTGCACTGTGGTCCAAGCTACTTAGGAGGCTGAGGTGGGAGGAGCACTTGAGTCCAGGAGGTCGAGGTAGCAGTGAGCTGTTGTTGCACCACTGCACTCCAGCCTGGGTAACACAGTGAGACCCTGTCTCAAACATAATTAAATAAATAAATAAAAACCTCCTAACCTGTGTATTCCATAATAAAGCTTCTTCATGATGTGCTTATTACACACCGTATGTGTGTAACGAAAATCTCATGTGCCCCACAAATATAAACACCTAATATGTATCCATAAAAATTAAAATTAAAAAAGTTTTTAAAAGCTTCTTAATGAAAAAAAAAAACAGAACTGAATAAGCATCCATTTTCATACCAGTTTCAAGAATGAATTTGGTTCTTGTTTCAAGCATAACTGAGGCAGCTCTCTTGGGGTTCCTCACCCTTCACATCATTTCCAGTTTGTGGTGGATTTGTCCCTCCGGACACTCTCTTTAAAAACGCATTGCATTCTCTTCAACATGTCCTGGGACAGTTGCTTTGCTTGAAAATTGAATTTCTTGCAGAAAATCTGGTATAGCTGTCTCTGTTTGTTTGGGTAATTTCCCATTTTTTCCTGATTGGATGATTTGCTTTTTAAAGTCATAGTTTTGGGGGTTGTTTTGTTTTGTCAAGGGGTCATCATTTTTAGAGTTGAAGCCATGATTATATAGACACAGTTTTCAGAATATATATATATATTTTGATTCAGAATCACTTCTGAATAGTACTTATGAATACCCATCTCATAACAATAGTAAACAAAAAAAAGGACCCAAACTCACATGGCGTCTTGTGAAATTATATATATATATATCTCCTTACCAACTGCATCTTTAGTAACAGTCATTTCCCCACTACAAGTATCTCGTTTACCCCGGCATGGTCCAGATGAGCCTGAAGGTTACTCAAGGACATTTAACTTGGTGGAAACCCAAAGTGATTTTCAAAAGAGCCGTAACCATGGAAACAGGGAAAGGGTTAATTCAAATAACAAGTTAAGAGATGGAAGAAAAGCAATAGCAAGACTGATAGGCGAGAGCGTGTCAGCATCCTGGCAGTACAGGATGAAGGACACAATTAGCCAGGCAGAACTAAGGCACAAAGACCCTTGCACCTGCCCCTTGCATGCGCCTCCAGAGGGGACTAATCCAGGTTCCAGAGCTCATTTCACTTCTAGTTAACACAACACACTCCTCCTTATTGGTCTGAATTAGCATGATAGTATTCTTGGTTTTATGATGTTGGGCAAATTCTGTACTTCTCTATGCTTTCTTTCTTATCTGCAGGTCGAAGGAATAAGCACTTCCTGTACGTTCTAATCAGATAAATCTCACAAATGCCATGTGCATTTTAAATCATCAAAAAATATCATCATTTATAACCTGCCTCCAAATATGGCACCTAGTTGATATTTGGATTATGGAGGTATCCATTTGCTACTCTACTAAATATTTGTGTAGATTTAGGATTGCAGCCTCTGTTCCCTTCATCTATCTTAGAGTCATACAATCTACTCAAGCAATATCATCTCTGTTCTCCTACCTTTTTACTCACTCATCCCTATTTTCCTCTGAGTCTCACATGCAACTTTATGGTTTCTTGTGGACATATGTTCTTGCTGAGTTTCACATGCTGTCGCCCCCCAGCAAAAGATGTCTTTGATAAAGGAATATGCTTCATTACCATGCTTCACACGTTATGAATCTCAACCCTTTCCGTTACAGTGGTAGCTGCAAAAACTATATTTATTAACTTTCAAAATGTTTGTGCTAAATGAATTACTCATGGTTTACCCATTAGTATGTACATATGTATGTGTCATTTCTAATCTTTTTCTATTTTTTCCCTTTAAATACTCTATGTCTCTTCCAATTTTATTATTCCTTATATGCTGTATCCAATATCTACAACACAAATGTTTTATATATTATAACCTGGGCATTTTTCTTCTTCCTTATTTTCCTCTGAGCAAATGGACTCATTTCTGAGTGAATCATCTTTCAAAAGCTGCTAAGATGTATTGCATAGCACTGAGACATGTTTGGGGGCATCTCCAGGCAGCCAACTATTCAACATTTATCTCATCCTTTCTACTCCAAAACCCTAACTTTCAGACACAAGAATAACACAAGATAGATAAAGGCTTATCAGGGATCAATAATCCCCAAGCTGACCCATCATTTAACAGTTATGTAAACTGAATGTATCACTTAATCTCCCAAAGCACCAACGAAGGCCTTTCCTGCATCCTGTATTGGTAATGACCAAAAGGATGAGATTACGGATGTTTGTAAGCAGTAGAGCAGCAATCAACTGTAAGTTGCTGTTAATTTTCATGTTTACAATTACTAATAGAGATGTGGTACATACTGTCAGACGTGAGTGTCTCGGACCACCTAGCTCCCTCCCAGTGGAACTGGGCTCCTTCAGAGGACCAAGCTCCAGGCAGAAGAGCTTGTCCATATCAAAGCTGCCTAAAGGAGAGTGCTGTTCCATAGCCAATTTCAGAAGGATATTTAGGAATGCATGGAAACTCCTAGAAGGACTTGTGACTCTCTACATGAAGAAGCATACATAGTCCAAGGAAATGTCATCGTCTACTGAAAACTGTAATGAGGACACCCAACGACAGACACATATGCACACACTCATATATATAATTGTGTTCAATAATATATAATGCACTAAATATATTACATAATACACTAGACAGAGTGAGAAAGAGTGTGAGAAACCAAGCAGCATTCCTGTAAGTCCTGCAGTGATTTAAAATAAGTAGATAATGTTTCACAGACAAGTGTGAGAACCTCCTTTTGGTGGTTGGTTTTTCTCTAGGGTTACTACTGTCCTTTCATCTTGTTTCTTCAAATTCTCCCAAATGAAAAGAAGAACAGGTTTTGCTATTTGAAGTTTACTGGGCCTGGCTTAGTTCCTGAAGTGATCTTTGCCCATGCAGATTCAGAAGCTTAAAGCTCCCAGTTTCTATGGCTTTGAGTGATTTAAAAAAAAAAAAAAAAAAAAAAAAAAAAAGGAAGAACGCGTGGAGAAGGTTCAGAAGAACCAAAGGCAAGTAAGGTATTTTACAAATCACCAGCAGACCTACTAAGATCACTCTTTACTAATACTTGTTCTTTAAACTGCTTATTCAAGATTTTTCATACACTTATTCAAAGAATTTTCCAATGGAAACATTTTTCAATCCATTTTTTAAATTATGCAGAATATTTTAAGTTTTTGAAAAAAGAAGACTACATTATTGTAGACATATAGCATTTTAAATAATTCACTGTACTTATGTCAATTTGGATGAATATAACTTCAATTCATTGACATAATTTTAAAATTTTTAAAAACATAAAATGTACAATATTTTTGAAATTCATTTTTGTGTGTCCTAAAACCATGATGGCATTTGAGTGCAGGTACATTCTCAGCACTCTTGCAAGATTGCCTTTATGGCACTTAAGGCAATATATGACTTTCATTCATTGCTCGGATTAAAAACAAATCCCTGTAGATACTCAAAGAAAAAATCACACTGGGAGGTGCAGCATTTCCACCCCAGGTAGGATTTAAGGCATTATAGCAAGAAGTCATATGTGTTACACAGCTGTAATCTATTTCTAAGGTTTATCTGCATTAAGTAAGTGCCAGAACACAGATGAATTTACCCAGACATCGAGTTTCGCTGCCGCTCCAGAGCCCATTTGCCAAGCACTCTCTGACATGAGACCCCACAAGCGTGTAGCCGGTGTTGCACGTAAATATAGCTGTGGCCCCATAAACTGTCAACGTTCCAATCTTGTTGCCATTTGGGGGAAAGGAAAGGCTTCCACACGAGATAACTAGAAGGAAAAACAATAAAATGAACATCAATTCAGTTATGCAGATTACTCCTGTGCTCCAAACAAACAAACAAAAACAAACAAAAAAAACCAAAAAACTATTTTTAGTCTTAATTTTCACTAAGAACATGGTTGAGAGTGTCTGCTTAGGGCTGGATAGACCAGTCACTTAAGAAGCTTAATTTTCCATCTTTATGCTCCTGAAACAAAAACCTAAAAGCTTAACGTGGATTCCAAAACATTCTAGATTCCTCCAATTACCCATTAACTTTTGTTGTTGTTGTTGGCATGGAGTCTTACTCTGTTGACCAGGTTGGAGTGCAGTGGCGCTATCCTGGCTCACTGCTACCTCTACCTCCCCGGTTCAAGTGATTCTCCTCCCTCAGCCTCCCGAGTAGCTGCGATTAAAGGCGCCTGCCACCATGTCCCGCTAATTTTTGTATTTTTAGTAGAGACAGTGTTTTGCCATGTTGGCCAGACTGATCTCAAACTCCTGACCTCAAGTGATCCTCCCACCCCAGCCTCCCAAATTGCTGGGATTACAGGCGTGAGCCACTGTGCCTCGACCCATTAATGTTATTTTTATTACCATCCTGACAGGTATAGCTGAACCATTCTTGAAAAAATACACAGTATACAAAGTATAAATGCAGAAGCGTGTCAATCAAATAAATTGTCTATCTCTCTACCTTTCTTTCCATATCAATCCCAAGAATTACATAGTAGTAATTACCAGAAGCCTCAGGAGCCTATCAGGAAATAAGGAATACCAATTTTCTTCACCAAAGCCCATCAGCTGGGACAAAGTAGTGTGGTATTAAAATCTAGGACTTCGGAATGCAATAGCAGTGCTCAGTTTATTTGTTTTTTTAGTTACTTGCATAATTTGTTGGGCTCATGAGCTCTGTAAGAATGCTGACTACACAGGGCATTTGGAGGCTTTCCACAAACTAAAACGTGCATACAAACTAGACCTTAACTGGGTGTCGATGGGGTGACCCTATGCCCCATGTTTACACCTGCCGTCTTAGCACAGTTATTGATCGTGTCCATTTTCACTCATGAAAGTACTCCAGTTTGGCAAACAAGTTAATGGTCACCCTCATTATATATTCTTACTACACCACTGAAATCTCTGCTCTTCAGATTCAGAAACACTTGAGCACAGAAGATCATGGCCTCTCAGGGGAGGGAGGAACTCACAAGGTTATCCAGCCCAACCTATCATCAGAGGCTGAAATATGTTTTGAACAGGTAAGAATGAAAGTGTTAGAAAAGCTATTCAAAGCAAGCATTAAGAGTGCTAGGTGAGCACTGATGTGCAGGGTGCTTCGCTGCAGCCTGCAGTGGCAAACATCGAGTTCTTCCTTATTCACAGTAAACCACAAGAGGCAGTAAAGCACAGTGAGGAAGAACACGGATTCTGGCTGTAGGCTACCCAGGGTCTGGTTCTGCCAGACAGGAGCCAGGCAGCACTTGCCAATTTTCTAAGTCTCTGGGCCCTGTTATGGGTTGATAATAGCTCCTACTGCATAGGCTTGTGCATTAGATTCAAACGGAAGCCATCCCTCGCACATAAGCAGGCTTAATCAGGGTTAACTAACAATGAAAGTATAAATCAGGACCTATTTAGTCAATTGAACCAAAAGTAGAAAAACCTTTAGAGATAATTCAAGTGAGGAAAATAAAGTGATGCATGTACCACTAAAACCAGCCCTTTTGTTGTTGTTTATGTAGACAGAGTCTTGCTCTGTCACTCAGGCTAGGGTGCAGTGGTACAATTGTAGCTCCCAGCAGCAGCCCTGACCTCCTGGGTTCAAGACATCCTTCTGCTCAGCCTCCCAAGTACCTTAGTGCATGGGCACCACCACGCTCAGCTATTTATTTTTTTAATTTATTTTTTGTAGAGATGGGGGTCTCATTGTGTTGTCCAGGCTTGTCTGGAACTCCTGGGCTCAGGCGAATCCTCCCATCTTGGCCTTCCCAGAAGCCCCAGACCTTTTAATTAAGCTGTCTTTACTCCATGTTATGATAGGACAACCGAGGCTCTATCTCAAATGTTCAGACAGAGACACCCAGACTGAGTTTTCTGTGGGGTGCACTACCAGAAATTGGGAGGTCCAACTCGAGAGTCCATCACGACCAGCACACTATTGTTATTGAGACAGCCTCCACGATTTATTGGTTTTGGGGATTGCTAAACTATTACAGTGTCATATCGTTTGCATTTAGTAATATGCTAATATGTTTGCTCTACCAAATGTTAATGAACTCGAGTAGGATTTAGATTTTTACAATTTGTTATAAACTTTTCATTAAGCCTTTTCCCAAACAGGGTGAACTTGTCCTTCAACTATGATATTTAAAGATCCATTTGTAGCAATTTAAGATAATTGGATCTTGTCTTGAAACTTCCATGCTTGCCAGAAAATAACAATGAGGTCTGAGTCGAATTCTTCTTGGAGGTTTCAGCGCACCTTCGCCTTCAATGGTAGAGAAGCAAGACCACCTCCCTCTGCTCGTATGGCTGTTTCTATTGTTGAAGCCTCTGTTAAAAATATTCTGGTGACAAAACTATTTTAAGTTTGTCCTCTAACAAGATTTACTCAATTGTAAAGAAGAAGTAATGGAGCAAAATTTTAGCTTTTCAGTAGCTGAATAATAGAATTTCAGACCCAGAGTTTCCTTGTATGGTAGTAAACTCAATGCATTAATAAAGATAGCAGCAATAACTCGGAAATCTTGCCTGACTGAAAAGGGGAAGCCCCTCACTACTAAAAATAGGCTTTGTCATACACCGAAGGGAAAGCCTTATTTTTATGTTCTTTTTCCTCTGAAGTTTCTAAAAATGAATTGCTTACGTTTGCCTTTTTTTCATTTCATTAAAAGTGTGTCCACGCTCACAGTCCGCAGTGCTTCCTCTGAACTCTGGGAGCAAGTCTTTGCACAAAAAAGACACTTGGCTGACAGCATCCGGAAATCACCTGCAATCCCAAAGCCTCCGGAATGCACCTGCAATCCCACAGCGTCCGGAATGCACCTGCAATCCCACAGCATCTGGAATGCACCTGCAATCCCGCAGCATCTGGAATGCACCTGCAATCCCACAGCATCCGGAATGCACCTGCAATCCCACATCCATAGCATCTGGAATGCACCCGCAATCCCACAGCATCCGGAATGCACCTGCAATCCCACAGCATCCGGAATGCACCCGCAATCCCACAGCGTCCGGAATGCACCTGCAATCCCACAGCATCCAGAATGCACAATCCCACAGCATCCGGAAAGCACCTGCGATCCCACAGCATCTGGAATGCACCTGCAATCCCACAGCATCAGGAATGCACCTGCAATCCCACAGCATCCAGAATGCACCTGCAATCCCACATCCACAGCATCCGGAATGCACCCGCAATCCCACAGCATCCGGAATACACCCGCAATCCCACAGCATCCGGAATACACCCGCAATCCCACAGCATCCAGAATGCACCTGCAATCCAACAGCATCCGGAATGCACCGGCAATCCCACAGCATCCGGAATGCACCCGCAGCCCCACAGCATCCGGAATACACCCGCAATCCCACAGCATCTGGAATGCACCCGCAATCCCACATCCAGAGCATCCGGAATGCACCCGCAATCCCACAGCATCCGGAATGCACCCGCAATCCCACAGCATCCGGAATGCACCCGCAATCCCACAGCATCCGGAATGCACCCGCAATCCCACAGCGTCCGGAATGCACGTGCAATCCCACATCGACAGCGTGTTTTCTCACTGTCCCTGGGGATTCCAAGCCACTAGCCTCTGTTCCCACAGGAAAGTCTCTTTTTTGTCTCTCCTTCAATTCTATGATTATATTCACGTTGAAATATATCAACTTTAAAAAACACTTGTATTGTGACATATCAGTTCTCATACCTGTAAGGACAGCACTCCTATCAGAAATATGAATATTACTTGTGAGTGTGACAAATAAACATAAACTCAAGAGTAGGTCTTTTCAAATACATTCTAGCTAAAAAAAAAAAAAAAAGCTAAATGAACATGCAGACCTCCATGAAGAATAAACAGCTGGCAAGAGAATGTGTGAGCAGGGAGGGGCTCTTTAATATGAATAAAAGGCTCAGTGGACTCACAATGGCTGTTTGCAAATACACGAAGGCACTCCGTATAGATCAGAGTCAGGAATTGTTTTATTAGGCCTAGAGAGATAGAGCTACCATCAATCACTGGATATAAGTCACATAGGAAGCCTGGCACAAAGTAAAAATGTTCAAACATGAAATCAGCTGTCTCTGGGGCAATGAGCTGTCACTACAGTTATTTGATGTTAGCTGGGCATTGACTTGTGAGAATATTATCAAGAAAATTCAACTGCAGGTAGTCCTGAGTGATGTCCAATGTCCACTCCAGCAATGGAACGAAATGACAATGACTACGCTGTGGTTTCCTCGGATATAGACGAAATACATCTGCTGATAAACACAGGCTCCCATACGTTTAATGATCAATCCAGGCCTGCCTCCAGTAACAAACAGCAGATCTTCAAAGACCAGCCCGGACACAGACAGCCCAGAATTTAGGCCATGTTCTTTGAATATCTACAATATTACAAAATTCCAGTGTAGCTCACTGAGTCAGTGTGTGTGTATAAAATTAAAAATGCAAAAATTATTTTTTCTGGTTCAGGGATTTCTGTGATAAATGTTTTTCTTTTTAAATATGAACAGTAAGTCGAACAATAAATAAATGTAATAAGACAAGAGTAAGAGCCTTCTACTTGTGTAAAGACTTTGTGCTAGGAAGGTGTGTAGCCGCCTCTACATATTCAATTTTAACTTTCTCTTATTGTTTCTTGAAGGACAGGACTGCAGAGCTCACTGTTTAAGGGTGACTATGCTCTCCTGTCCATTCATTCATGGAGACCTGAGTTTTTCTCTAGGGACATATTAAAGTAGCCTGGAGTTAGAACAGCACAAACCCTTCAAAAAGTGGTAAATTTCTCAGCGGATTCCACAGTTGTCATGAATGTGATTAATAGGTGATCAAGGCTCACCTCTTCATCTGGAGCTACCTAGACAAGCAGAAAGGGAAATTCTATTTCCAGCTCCTAAGCAAATAAGTAACTGAAAACATTTAATTTCTGGGAGATCTTACAAGCAGGGCCACTCTAAAATGAACACTGGGGAGTCAAAAAAAAAAAAAAAAGGAAAATGACTGCTCCTTACCTGCACCAATGACTCGGGTGATGCTACCCTTGAAGATTCCGTTGGTCCTGATCCAACAGAACATAGAGAGTGACACTGTGTATCTTCTATGAAGAAGCTAGCACAGTGTGGAAAATTGGCCTTACAAAAATGTGTCATGTTCATTACTTTTAATTAAGGAATTAAATTATGTTTTAATTTCCTGGGGTTTATCACACACTTATTTAATAGTAAATTATATTATTACCAGGATTCATGGTGTGGTGTGTGTGTGTGTGTATGTGTGTGCAAAGTAGGAAACATGAGAGATAAATGTAATTTAAGCATAGAATGAAATAAAAATGTGTTACAGAAAAAATGAATTAATGTGTTTATTGATTTTTTTCTTGTAGATCCCAGATAATGTTTACATTTTGAGGTTTTTTTTGGGGGGGGAGGGCAGTGGGGGAGGTTGGGGACAGAGTATTGCTCTGTCGCCCAGGCTAGATTGCAGTGATGGGACCTCAGCTCGCGGCAACTGCCACCTCCTGGGTTCAAGCGATTCTCCTGCCTCAGCCTCCCAAGTAGCTGGGATCACAGGTACATGCCACCACACGGGACTAATTTTTGTATTTTTTAGTAGAGACAGGGTTTCACCATGTTGGCCAGGTTGGACTCAAACTCCTGACCTCAGGTGATCCACTCGCCTTGGCCTCCCAAAGTGTTGTGATTATAGGCATGAGCCACCATGCCTAGCCTACATTTTAAGTTTTTAAAAATTGTGTTTTTCACTTTCTTTTGGGTGAGTAAAGTTTTAAAGGTGGTGTAATTCTCACCACCACATTGCCTGTGTTTTCTCTGATACTATTAAGTGACTTTCAAGAGAGTAGATGGTTACCATGTTGAGGAACTCAATATTTGTCCCAAGTAAATAAAATCAAGAATATTGAATATTGCACTAAAGCTGGTTGTGAAACATACATAGATAATGACACTAGTACTCATGAAAATCCATGTTGGAGGGAAACACAAGACAACTGTTGTTCGTACTGTTCCCTCCACTGCTTTGTGTACTGCCTGCCTGTGCCTTGGATACACGTGCCCTAAAACTGTGTATTGTGTGGTGTTATTCTAAAACTGTGTATTGTGTGGTGTTATTCTGAAACCGTGTATTGTGCGGTGTTATTCTGAAACCCTGTATTGTGTGGTGTTATTCTAAAACTGTGTATTGTGTGGTGTTATTCTGAAACTGTGTATTGTGTGGTGTTATTCTGAAACTGTGTATTGTGTGGTGTTATTCTGAAACTGTGTATTGTGTGGTGTTATTCTGATACCGTGTATTGTGTGGTGTTATTCTGAAACTGTGTATTGTGTGGTGTTATTCTGATACCGTGTATTGTGTGGTGTTATTCTGAAACTGTGTATTGTGTGGTGTTATTCTGAAACTGTGTATTGTCTGGTGTTATTCTGAAACCGTGTATTGTGTGCTGTTATTCTGATACCGTGTATTGTGTGGTGTTATTCTGAAACTGTGTATTGTGTGGTGTTATTCTGAAACCGTGTATTGTGTGGTGTTATTCTGAAACCGTGTATTGTGTGGTGTTCTTCTGAAACTGTGTATTGTGTGGTGTTATTCTGAAACTGTGTATTGTGTGGTGTTATTCCGAAACAGCTCTTCTAAAAATGGGATCCAAGAACTCCTGGACTTCTCTGATATTCTTTTAGCGGTCAACAAGCATCTCCCTTTCCAATGACTACACTACCAACCATCAATATATTTTATTTTACATATCTCCACCAAAACAACAAACTTTGACAAAGTTAATGCAGAAGGTGCTGAGAATCCAGCCACCCTGTATTAAGCCACACATTAAGGGGCTTTGAAAAATTTTAAAATGATGACATTCTTCACATTAATTTTTGCTTTGTTTGAAAATGAATCCTTATTGTTCATAAAAATGTGTTACTTATGTGAGCATGTAATTGATATGTTATTTTAAATTAATACGTAAAATTGTATCCGTTTTAGTGTAAATAAATTAACAAATCAATATTTTAAAATAATAATAGTTTTTAATGTATGATATAGTTATAAAAAGGTCTTTGGGGTCCAGTGGTAGGCAGAATTCGAAGGTGGTCCCTACGTGTCCCACCCCTGAGTCGAGACATCTCCTCAAATCCTCTCCCCCTGAGTGAGGGCAGAACTCTGAGGATGTTAGGAGTCAGCTGACTTTGAGTTAATAAAAAATGAGATGATTTGGATGGGAACAGCCTGGTGAGGGAAGCCCTTATCAGGAACTAAGTCCTTCCTGAAGTCAGAGAGATTGGACTCAGGAGAGGGCCTGGTGGGGTGGGGGACAGAGGGCCAGGAGCTTAGTATTTCCCCATCAGCAGCAGCAATAACATCAGGTCCTCAGCCACACACCACAAGGACATGAACTCTGCCCAGGAGCCAGGTTTGGGAAGCTGATCTGAACCTCACTGGACCTCGCTGGATCCCACTGGAGCCCACTGGGCCTCACTGGACCTCACTGGACCTCACTCGGCCTCACTGGGCCTGACTGGACCTCACTGGACTTCACTGGGCCTCACTGGGCCTGACTGGACCTCAGTGGACTTCACTGGACCTCACTGGGCTTGACTGGGCCTCACTGGACCTCACTGGACCTCACTCAGCCTCACGGGGCCTGACTGGACCTCACTGACTTCACTGGACCTCACCGGACCTCACTGGGCTTGACTGGGCCTCACTGGACCTCACTGGACCTCACCGGGCCTCCAGCCCTGTCAACACCGTGAACTCTGCCCTGTGAGACCGTGAGCAGAGGATCCAGCCAAAATGTGCCAGGTATCTGAGCCCAGAAGCTGGGCCGTAGCGAATCTGTGTTATCATGAGGCCCTTAGCACGTGGTGACTAGTTATGCAGCAATCAATAACTAACACAGGTCCTCAAATTTTAAAAATAAAAATTTTATGAAAACCCCTGAGAACAGTTGCCTTCAAAGAGGCTGGGCTATCCCTTCCATAGAGGGTCTGCTGAATGACCTTGGTAAAGGGGTTTCTAGACTTCTGTACTCTGATGTCATTTCCAAAACATTGAGGCAAGAGATAAAAAGAGGAGAAAGCGGCCATTAAGGCTTGTAAATTTTAGCCAGCATCCCAATTTAAACAAAAAGTCACACACTACGACATCTAAGACGGCAAACCTATGCTCCAAAAAGAGAAAAAAAGATTGACAAGCCCTGTATTAGTACAATTTAAAAAATTTTTTTAAATGTTTAAAATATATATAGTAGATATAAGAATAAATTGACAATATCAACATCAGGCCTTTTGGGGGGAAAAAAAAGACAAAGCAGAAAATTTCAGTTTGGTCACAAAAGTAACAATATACTCCATGTCAGCTTTCCCCAGCACACTGCATTCCCTGGTGTGGAATTGGTTCTCTGATACCATTCTCCACCAGACGATACCAGGGCTTTTTGGAGAACAATGTGTTTGGGTAAGAAAAATTCCAGATAACCATACAACATCCTGTTTTTATGAGAAAACAAGGACCATTTCAGAGATGTTAGAGGGACCAAATGAAAAAGCTGTGTAAAAGGGACTCCCCGGCCAAAGTGTCACAACCTGAGCTACAGATATTAATAAAATCATTTTTTTAAAAGTCAACAATGATTTCAGCTGGAATCCAGTGACTCTGGAAAATGCCACGTGTACACGATGACATTCAAGGGACAAATAGCAAAGTGTGATAGAACAGCTCGTGCCCAGCCCGCAAGCAGCAGGCAGCTGACAATTTAGAAAACAAATTTGTGGCCCGAGACACCTAGACATGTGATGATAAATGATGTGTGGGGGTTGTGACTGGACCCCGCTCCGTGTCAGAAACACCAGAATACAGTTGATAAAACCAGAGGCAGGAAAACAGACTTTCTAGAATTTCAGAAGCTGGAAGCAGAAACACCGTTCAAGGACAGCAGAGCTCTACCTTTGCTTTCTTTCCCAAGATGAGGTCAACGCCTTGCTACTAATGAGTTTAGTTCAGGAATGAGGTTTTTGTTAACATTCCCTTAAGGAGAAGGCTCTCCACTGTACGTGAAAATTCTTCGGGAACGCTGAGTTGTGAGCATGGAAGATTGTCACGCAGCAAATACCATTTGGCACGGCCCTGCTCTGGGAAGACAGGGACACCGTAGGTGGGCATCCCTGGGAAATCAGAGAGACAAGAAAACGCTGTACTGCGCTGTGCCAGCCGCAGAAGCCCTGTGTAAAACCCCACCTGGAAGAAATTAATAAGTGTCTGTTTTTAAGATCCTATTTCTGGTTTGAAATCGACAAGATGATGTTGGCGGGAAGAGTCTAAAATAGGCAAAAGGTTAGAGTTCCTGACTCCTTCTCCTAATCTCTCCTTACCGGTGCTAATGCTGGAATCTCCAGGTGACAAAATCTGTGCACGACTGGCAAGAATGTCGGGAAGGGGGGCATTTCCTAAGCTGCAAAGGTGTGACAAAGAGGAACGGCTCTGCAAACTCAGTGACCAGGTCATTACCCATCCAAACCAGGACACCGTTCAGAGTGACAAGCAATCACTAATAAACACCTGGAAAACAGGCTTCAGGCAGGGCTATCTTAGAGAAACGGGGACCATGTTCATTACGATTATGAAAGCTTTGAGCTCCCTGAGGCCAGCAATCCTTCCTGATTTATCTTTGTGTTCCTGGTGAAGAGCTTGTGGTACGTGTTTCATTAACATTTGTTCTATTAAAAGTTGAATTAAAATTATTATCAAAGACAGTTAAACATTCATGCTTTTGTCTTTTTCAATTTTTATTCTGGCATATTCTTACCAAGCTGTGTATTTTATAAATTATACACTATTCTACTTGTTTTTATGCATGATAATTTTCTGTGAACAATCAAGTAAAGATTGTATACTAGACACATCTGATTCAGAGTGCTCTGAACAATACTAGCATTGTTTTATTTTTCTATTTCACCATATTTAATGTGAAACTCACTGAAAGCTTTAACTGCTTATCTTGTACCTAAGAGAATAATCATCTCCCTTGTGAAAACAGTCTTTATTTGAGAACACAATATCTTCAGCATTCATACTATTTCCCAAGATCCCAATTAGAACTCTTGAATAGTCTGTCTATGGCGTAAGAGTTATCTTTTTACACATAGGTTTGTATTTGTCTTTGAGCTGATTTGAAATACAGTTGGAGAAATACAATTATTAACAAGGAAAAGACAACATCAAATGCCTAATCGAGCAGCAATGTGGTTTAAGTATGTCACATGACAATACATATTCACATCGCAATGAAAAGACAGGCCATTTGTTCTTTTGATCTATAGGACTATGGTAGATGATAGCTCCACTAGAGAAGCTCACCACTGACATAAGCCATCTAGAATAATCTAGGATGCCGTGACTTTCAGGGGTGCCTCCCTCATCACTTACCTCGACAGCTTGGCCTCTCATCTCCTATGTTCCACGTCCCATTGGCCTGGCACCGCAGGAGCCTCCAGCCTTCTAAGTAGTAACCAGGACTGCAGCTCAGCAATACTTGAGCACCGTACTCATTCAAGGATCCTGAAACCAGCCTCCAGATGACATGTTCTGAGAGCTGAGCTTCAATGCTGGGGCAAGCGACCGCTGGAAGGGAAACGTACATCACATCATCATTTTTCTTTTTTGGAAAACATCAGACCGTGCTTGCTTTGGATGGCAAGGTCTTGCTATATGAAACTGATCTTGTTTGGCAAAGTTGATGCCATTACGTATTATCTCAGTGTTTCTCTACCACCCACATAGACATATGGGAATGATCCCATATGTAAAATGCATTCAATTGCCTCACTACAGATGTCCTGGGAAGTCTGCAGTCAGACTGAACTGTAAAGGGGGTAAATCACTTCCACAAAAGTATATGGCTCATTGAAGTTGATGAAAATTTTCATGAGGGTAATGAGCATATGCAAATAAAAATCTTACATATAATTTCCCTCAATATCCTTGGAGGAACTTGGAATAGTAATTGTGTAATTGCAAACCAGCTGGGACACTAATTTTCAGAAACTCAGATGCCCTCATTTCTTCAAACCTATGAAACACACATATATAATATATCTATATATCATTGAATGTAGAAACACACAGAAATACATAGGCATACTGCACTAATACTGTTTCCAAAAATGTTTAACAAGTCTTAAAGGAGACCATCTATTCATGTCCTTAGAAAAGGGCCTAGAATATAGCAGTTACTTAAGAAAGAGTAGTAGCAATTGTAATAGTGACAGCAACAGTAGTAGCAGTAGTAGTATACTATTACCAGGGTGGACTTCAAGGACTTTCTAAATATACTGAAAATATATACAGAGTCTGAGTTGTATGTGGGTACATATTCTTTGAAAAGTGCAAGATGATTTAAAATACATTACACAAAATTAGAAACCAGAACCATTTCTCTAATTACGAAGATTTAGTAGCTATCATTCATTAAAATCAACCACCAAGAAAATTGATCAAATTGATTAATTTATTGAGCTGGGAAGAATTAACTGGAGAGACTATAGCTATTTTCAGAATCATAGTGTTATATTTTAAATTCTTTTTTTGTGTGTGTGACAAAGTCTCGCTCTCTGTCTCCCAGGCTGCCAGGCTGGAGGGCAGTGGCATGATCACGGCTCACTGCAAACTCTACCTCCCGGGTTCAAGCGATTCTCCTGCCTCAGCCTCCCAAGTTGCTGGGACTATGGGGATACAGATGTCCACCACCATGCCCAGCTAATTTTTGTATTTTTAGTAGAAATGGGGTTTCACCACGTGGGCCAGGCTGCTCTTGAACTCCTGACCTCAAGCGATCCACCCACCTTGGCCTCCCAAAGTGCTGGGATTACAGGAATCAGCCACTACACCAAGCCTATATTCAAATTCTATACAAGTTTATTAGAATTGAGTCAGGCATAACCAAAATTTTACAAAAATCTTGATTAGTCTTTTCTCAGTAATTTCCAAGTACTATATAAAAATATACAGAAAAATGTGGCTCTTTTTGATATCATCACAACAGTAACAATGAAGTCTAAAATGGGAAGAAAAATTGCTAATTTAAAAGTAATCCTTAGGTTTCTTTCTCTCAAGTATTTTTTTAGGTTGAAGGAATTATTCTAAATTTATAAGAAGATTCAAATGTTTAACCTAATGATAAAAATAATATTTTTCTCCAGCCAAAATACTCTTACAATTTCTAGCAAAACTGTTTCTGAAAAGCCCTTAAAGGCTTTTAGCCTCATAAATTTATAACTCAACTTGAATCTGACTGCATATTTCAAATAAAATGCATTTAATTTCACCAAAAACATGCACCGCATGTTCTCACTCATAGGTGGGAATTGAACAACAAGATCACATGGACACAGGAAGGGGAACATCACACTCTGGGGACTGTTGTGGGGTGGGGGGAGGGTGGAGGGCTAGCACTAGGAGATATACCTAATGCTAAATGATGAGTTAATGGGTGCAGCACACCAGCATGGCACATGTATACATGTGTAACAAACCTGCACGTTGTGCACATGTACCCTAAAACTTAAAGTCTAACAATAATAAAAAAAAATTATTTTTAATAACTTGAACTATCTTTTACAAACTTTATTTCTGCCAAGAATGACTCAACTTTGTTCTTTCTTTCTTTCTTTGTTGTTTCCTTGTTGTTTTATACAGACTAGGTCTAGTTATATGGCCCACGCTGGTCCTGAAGTCTTGGGTCAAGTGATCCTCATGCTCAGCCTCCCAAAGTGCTGGGATTACAGGTATGAGCCGCTGCACCCAGCCAAAAATTCCAATTTGGTTCACACAACGGAATCAGACAATTTTTTGAGCTGATACCATCTACAGTATCAATTTCCAAGTTCTTCATGATGATCTCTTTCTTCATGAAAATGGTATTTGGTTTGGTTTGTAATTATCTTAGGCTAGTTTGATTATTTGCTCACATCTCTCTTTTTTTTTTTTGGCTATGCTATACCCTCATTTATTGTAAACACTGTCTTTTTACATTTTTTTAGTATAGTGACTGACAAATTAGACACTATATGTGTGTATGTGTGTGTATATATATATATATACACATAATATAATTATATGTGTGTATGCTTTGAAAAATAGCCTGCCAAGAAAATACATTGCCACAACAAAAGAAAGAGAGGAAAGAAACGTGTATGAGTGGAAATTAGGAGTAAAAAGAAAAGTGAGGACTGCAATAAATATTAATATTAAAGTCCATCTTGTCCTTTGTTAACTGAAGGATGAGAGTGGAAGAGTGGAGATTTCCAGAAATTTGTGCAAATTATCATTTTATTTAATATTTTTTAAGAATGATAGGTAGAGAACATACAAAAAAAACTGAGTTTGAATACTCTGTGACGTAATTTGGGAGGAGAAATCCCAAATAATATAAACCAAGAGGATGCCAGACCATTTTCCCTAAAGAGTGGTAGAAAAGGTACAGTCTTTGTCAGTTGTGTCTCCATGCACCCCTGCGTTCATACAAAAACAGTGCCAACAGCCCCCACGGAATGGTGGGCCCTGATTTGCTGTGGTCAATAAGGCTGTCCCAAAGAATGTCCTTTATCTTGGTCCAATAAAATAATGTGGCAAAAATCTGATAACAGAACTGTGACTCTCGCGAGAGGGTACTGAATTCAAATAAAAACAGAACATTTTACAACCCCCAAACACCTACCCCAGTCTACTGATTCACATGCCTGTACGTGGTTTCTAGTCACTGACATCAGAAGCCTGAAAACAGTGTCTTCCTGCAGTCCCTGTCACATACACTCTCACAAAGGTGTCTACACTCAACCCCCCCAACTCCCTATGTTTTCTCCTCTTCTGTGCATCCTCAACCTCTACCTTACTTCAGAGTCAAATGCTTAGTTTTGGCGCAAAATTTCACTTGCACACCCTTAAAAGAATATTTTTAAAAAACACTGATCTCTTTATATACCCTTCATTAAAAATTTAAAATTTTCCTCATAAGTTTAAGTCATTGACATTACCAGTATATGAAATGCAAATTATGGTAAAAGTGCCATTAAATAAAATACCACTTTTACTCAAGTCCAAGAGAATAATACCACGGCAACTTGACACTTCTGAATATTCATTTAAAAGAAATTCAACAAATTTATTTCATTCCTTGTTCTCTTCCAACTATTAATTCTAGGCTACAGTTTCTATAAAAAAAATTTAAAGATATTTTATTTTGAAAGTTCTTTATGAATAATCTATAACACTTAACTGTACCAAACTTCGATTTTTAAATTTCCTGTGACCACACATTTTCACAGTGAAAACATTCTCTTTGATTTAGATGCAAATTTCCTATTAATATACCATTGATTGAATAAACAATATGATAAAATTGTTGATAATCTACATTCAACACAAAAGTAATGTTTTATTGGTAAGACACCAATTGATGCTACAGATAAAGCATTGTTGTTCATGCACTACTGATTGTTAGAAAGAGACAAGCTGTAGTATCAATTGTATTGCTATTGTGGACTTCAGACCTCAAGACAAGTAGTGTTAAAATAAATTTGGCTCACTGAGAATGACGGTTAACACGGGAACAGAAAACCAAACACCGCGTGTTCTCATTTATAAGTGGGAGTTGAACAACGAGAACACATGGACACAGGGAGGGGAACATCACACACCAGGGCCTGTCGGGAGGTAAGGGACAAGAGGAGGGAGAGCATTAGGACAAATACTTAAACCACGCGGGATTTAAAACCTAGATGACAGGTTGACGGGTGCAGCAAACCACCATGGCACATGTATACCTATGTAACAAACCTGTATGTTCTGCACATGATTCCCAGAACTTAAAGTAAAATAAAAATAAAATAAACTTAAAGTAAAATAAAAATAAATAAACAAATTTGGCTTCGAGTTACCTTTACACCTTGAATTCCTACACAGTGAACTGCAACCTCACTCAGTACACAGCAAACTGCAACTCAACTCAAGAGGATGTGGTTGTAACAAGGAGTTGAGTCTCAGCTCATCACAGCAGCCTTGCTTCAGCCCATCGCGGGCCCCAGACTAGTCAGACCACCCCCTAGTCGGGCAGGTGCCCAGACGTGGCTCCTCCAGCTGCCTCCCCATGTGCCTTCCTTTTTCTATCAGTGCTGCTGCCCACATTGCTGGGTGGAGCTCTCTGGACCTTGCCTGGATTTGAAGGCTGCCTGATTGATACACCTATTTACTCAAATAAACTCTGCTAAATTTCATGTGTCAAAAGTTTTCTCTTAACAGGTAGAAGAAAAATAGTTGGAATGAAGAAAAAGATTTGATGTGGTTTCTGGCTGATGAAATCGCCCATGCTTTTTTGTCCTTTTTTAACTGTTTTCCATAGTTTCCAGGTTTTCTATATATTACTAATGGTCAGAGAAAAAGCCAACCAAGAGATCAAAGGGACTTAGGAGTAGTGGCCTGATAGGCACAGACATCATTTTACAGTTAGGCTGAAAAACTGAAAGCTGAGAGGACTTTATTTGTTTACAAGAAAAACTGGAAATAGTTCAACTAAGTCCCAGTGAAAAAATCTTCTGTCTTGAGGTACAAATATATATGTATACAAACACACATTACATATATAAACACATAAAAACACATAAATATATGTACATATGTAATTTATATGTATGTATAAATTTTAATATATACCTACTACACATAAATGCAAAAGGTTATAAAAATCAATGCATAATAGTTTAACAAGGGATTATTTAGGAAGACTAGGATGCTTCTGTTATGTTCTTACTTTGTTATTTCTTCCCACAATATCATACTTAGAGAGGAAAAAGTGAAAAGAGAGTAAAAATATAGTCTATAGGGACATTTTCATTTCATGACATTAAACATTATAGACTAGGGAATAAGATAAAACTGAGAAATATAGAGGATGGTAGAATACATGAAGCTGAAGTTAAGAACTGGAGCAAAAATATGACTCGAACATCACAGAAGGCAAAGCGTGAGCCAGCGGCACTGTGGAGAAAGGGAAGGAGGGCCTCGGAAACGGCTTTCTACTGAGCTCTCATTTCTGCCCAGGGATGGCCCTAACACTCAAAGGCAGTTGCAGTAAACATGCACGCCTCCCCTAAGACTTAAGACAAAGTGGAGTTACAGTCAGGAGGCAACACGAAACAGCCTGAGTACCTCTGTGCTGACATTTTTAAAGAAAACACTTGGTTCTTTCTAACAAAAATATCTTAGCTAGATCTCTCCTAAGATACAGGGCTGTTCCCTGTACCTGCCAGCACTCCCCAGTCCCCCACCATCATAGGCAGATACTGCAGAGCGCGGCTGCTCCCAGAGACGCGCATCTGTTTAAAAAGCTCTTTTCACATTGTGTATGTAATTGTATATGTAATTCTACTGTAAGCGGATCCTCACTCACAACGACACTGAGACAGAAAAGGAGGGTATCACTATTATTTGTATTTATTTGCAAGTTACAGAGGAGCAAGGAAGCCCAGGCTCACCCCAACCAAGCCAGAATTTCCATCTGTGGGTCTCACATCATGTTGTGTTTCTGACTTGTCACTTTCCCTGAACACTAGAAACAATACGGGAAAATTTGATTTATTCTACAAATGACTAAAATGAGTAACTCCAAGCATAGTTTCAGGAATTGAATCGACAAGAGCTCCAAACATACTAGCATACAGATATCAAATGAATAACAAACTCCTTGAATGTTTTAAAATTTTGGTCAACCTGGGAAAATGTAGCAAAAGAAAGTGTTTTGCTAATATAAACTTTATAAATCAATATTTTTAACAATTATAAGTGAATAAATTGCCAGGTCAAGTTTTGTAAAATTAAATGTTTTCAAAAACATAAGGGTTTAGCTGGCATGACAGACATTGTTCAACTTGCCAGTTTACCTTATATTTCTTCTTTTTTATTTTTAAGGAAATACAGGCTACCTTCTATTACCTTAAAGAAAACAACTATAAAGGAATAATTTTCTTCAATTTTCACAAATTCAGGAGAACATTTACTGGAGATCATTTCAAAATATTTGACATGGTTAATACCATTGACTATGTTGATATGGTTGACACATTTTTGTTCTAAAAACCTTAAATTATGCTTCCCAAATCCAGATCAGTTGAAAGTATAAACAATATATAGTCCTGTGCATAAAAGACACATTGCCCTGACTTGTGAGTGTTTCAGCAACAACACAAAATACTTTGCATTTTACTTAAGAAATATCAGCCTTTAATTTGGCCGTGAGTAATTCTGATTTATTATAGACTCATTCAGCCAGTGACAGGATAGAAGAATAAACATTGCTTTAAGATATTTAGACAAGGGAAGTGAGATTACCATAAATAAAGCCCTTTGCCCTTCTCTCTCAAAAATTTCAGAAACTTATCATAAATCTTCTGTGATATTCTAATCAGCCCCTAGATTCTGGATGCAATTGTTTTGTTTTGCTTTGTTTTGTTTCTTAACAGAGAAGTCTCCCCTATCGTACTCAATGTGGGTAAGTGCTTCTTATAACCAACTTTAATTGAAGCACATTTAATGAGATTTATAAAATTATGATTAGATGTCATTGGAGTAAACTGATTTAATCAGCCTCATAACTGTTCCTCATACACACAACTAAAGCAAAGTGTGCAGTCTAGCACTAAAAACCTGTGCTTACTGGACACGCGAGAGAAAAACTGGTGTTAGTTCTAGTACCTTAGAAGCCTAAATAACAAGACAACTTTGGTTTGGGTAAAAAATAAATATAAAGTTTTTGGGGAAAACTAGGATACTAAGACCTTTTAAATGTGTTTCATACCATCGAATTTCAACAATCCTCTCTTAAAAAACCCGTCCACCAAGACAAAATCAAGAACATGGGATTCTTTTCTTTTTGGCTTTTAGAAAATTATTTCAATAGCTTTTTGGGGTACAAGCGTTTTTGGTTACATGGATAAGTTATCTAGGGGTGATTTCTGGGATTTCAGTGCACCTGTCATCCAAGCAGTGTGCACTGTATCCAATATGTAGTCTTTTATCCCTCACCCATCTTCCTATCTATCATCCCCTTGAGTCCCCAGAGTCCACTGTATCATTCTTATGCATTTGCATCCCTATAGATGGGCTCCCACTTAAAAGTGAGAACATAACGATATTTGGTCTTCCATTCCTGAGTTACTTCACTTAGAATAATGGCCTCCAGCTCCATCCAAGTCCCTGCACAAGACATTATTTCATTCCTTTTTATGGCTGAGCAGTATTTCATAGTGCATATATACCACACTTTCTTTTTTTTGTTTTTTTGAGACGGAGTCTCGCTCTGTGGCCCAGGCTGGAGTGCAGTGGCGGGATCTCGGCTCACTGCAAGCTCCGCCTCCTGGGTTCACGCCATTCTCCTGCCTCAGCCTCCCGAGTAGCTGGGACTACAGGCGCCCGCCACCAAGCCCAGCTAATTTTTTTTTGTATTTTTAGTAGAGATGGGGTTTCACCGTGTTAGCCAGGGTGGTCTGGATCTTCTGACCTCGTGATCCGCCCGCCTCGGCCTCCCTATACCGCACTTTCTTTATCCACTCATTGGTTGATGGGCACTGTGTGGATTTCATATCTTTGCTATTGCAAACTGTGCTGCTATAAACATGGGTGTGCATGTGTCTTTTCCACAGAGTGACTTCTCTTCTTTTGGGTAGATGCCCCGTAGTAGGGCTGCTGGAGCGGACGGTAAGAGGATATGGGATTCTTAAGGACAAAAGTTGTTTTTGGATTTTTGCTTTACCCTTACAGCTTAACGAAATGATTCCTAAATGAGTTATCTAGAATAAGAGTAGATGACCAATTAATAGAGTTTTAAAGTTAACTTCTAGGAAGTAATTTATGGGCTCACCTGAGAGTGACTAGCTTTTTAGAAACATTAGACAAAAAGGTCTCAAGGCATTAAGTTCTAGCTTCTTCTTCCCCAAGATTTCCAACTGAATCTAGACCTTCATAACACTGTCATATTCTTAGGGTTTCGAATCACCAGACTTTTCCTTATTCCTGCCACTACTGTTTTTTCCATTTGTGAAGCTTCTAAAACCTTCAGAAAATCGGGCATCTATATTTCTCTGGCCCGGCTTTCTTATTTTTTATACTATGGTTATTTTAAAATACATATATTTGAGCAGACTTAGATCCTGGAATATTTAAATAACTAACTATAGCCATGTTAAATAAATAGTGTTCCAACGCTATCGGTAGCCTAAAGGCAAACCAGCCATGGAATCTGATCTCAGCGAGACAAGACCAACACTAAATTCACCTCATCCAGTTAGTGATACCAGCAAATAGGCCTTTGAAGTTTTGCAACTTTATTACCTGAGTTCAATATCAAAGCTACTTTTTAAATTTCATGAAATGCCTGATATTTTAATTACATAAAATGAGTCTAATCCAACCCCTGGGAAGGATTTTGAAAAATAGTATGACTGATCCAAGCATAGATTTAAAGTCAAAAATCTTAGTGTTCCATTCTTTGACTTGTTGGGCTTAATTGTAAAAGCAATACACAGCATTTATATTACTGGTGGCTCTCTTTGAAAAGATTGTTTCCTTATTTACTTCTAAAACGTTCCTTAAAATTTTTCTTGTGGTTATTTGTTTTGTTTTTATTTACATGTTATAAGGTTTCACATGTTGCCTGCTTTTCGAGGTCATGGTTTTACCATGCACTGCATATAACGCTGAACTGGGTATTAGACAATTCCTCAAATTAAGAATATCCTTAGAGCTCTTTGCTGAAAAAAAAATTCGCTTAAGTATTCTTTCCTAATTGCCCTAATTATAAAATTTTTTCTTACAATATTTTAAATAAGAATATATCCACATACTCAAGCGTAATTTGTTGATTATGATGAAGACGACCTTAAACCTTAATGCTATTACGGATTTGGCACAGTTAGTGCCATGAGAACCCAGCCAGAGCCACATAGAGGCTTAAACTTCATCATGGAGACAAGCCATAAAAACCAGCAGTTGGCATCTGAGCTGGTGACTATATAGATTAGGTAAACTGATAAGAAATTCTACAAGAATAGATGGCGACAAGCAGACTAGGTCAACTCTTGAGTACTTTGGATCTTCGCAGAAGAGATCTAGACAGAAAGTAACCCAGGCAGCAGAGTGGGAGCAAAGGGTACTTAGAGAAAGTGGGTGGTTGGCCATTGCTGTAAACACCGTGTGAGTGAGGCAGACACAGGAAGCTGAATTACAAGAAGGTATATTCCTAGATTCCTGCAGAGTGAAGGGTCCTGAATTTTCAACTTCTAGCCTTCTCAGCCCGCAAAATCTGACTCCCGTGCCTGAAACCATTTCTTGACCCTTCCTTCCTTCTTTTCCTTACTTCCTTCCTCTCTCCCTCCCTTCCTTCTTTTCCTTTCTTTCTTCCTTTCCGCCTTCCTTCCTTCCTCCTTTACTTTCCTTTCTTCCTTCCTTCCTTCCCCCTTCCCTTCCTTCCTTCTCTCCCTCCCTCCCTTCCTTCCTCCCTCCTTTCTTCCTTTCCTCCTTCCTTCCCATTCCTTCCTTTCCTCCTTCCTTCTTTCAATTCTTCCTTCTTTCCCTTCCTCCCTCCTTCGTTCCTTCCTTCTTTCCTTCCTTCCTTTCCTCCTTATTTTCTTCCTCATACATTATGACAATAAACTTCCACCACTTGTACTAACCTGAGGAGGCATTTTGCACTTCTTGAGATTATAAGCCCTAAATGACCTCGTCTGCATTTTACAACCTTTAAGAAATGTGGGTTCAGAAAGGCATTTCACAGGCCTAAGGTCTTTCAAAATATTTTCCTGTCTATAGCAACTTGAGTTACAGCACGGCCTTAAAACCCAGAGATTAGACTTAATTTAAGGAGATTGCGTTTAAAAATTAAGCTCGTTTAGCACTGATACATGCTTTGCCAAATATCAGCATTCATATTAGATTTGCCGTCCCCAATATCAAACCAAACGTGTTCCTCTTCTAAAAATTAATCTGGCTTTAATAAACATAGTCATAGCACGGAATTCTCTTAAAAGAAGGGTAGTTTCCAAGCAGGTTTCACTGAGAATCCAGAAAGTGACTCCAACCTCAGAGATGTCCTTAGACCACTGAGGGGTGAAAAGGAGTCTCCTATGGATTGGTCCAGAAGGCTCTCCTCTCTCTCACCTCTACTTTTCCTCCTCCAATTTCAGAGTGAGAAGTCAGGCTCTAGAATTTGGAGAAGATGGAAAGATTGAAAGAAGGAACGAACATCCAAACTTTATGTTCTGTTTATTTCCTCATTTCTAATATCACCACCAAAATGTTAATGCAGCCAAACACTCCCATCAAAAATATTAACTTCACCTGGCTACTATTAAGTAATATATAGCTTGGAGAAGCTTTAGTTTCTCAAATGGATTTTAACTCTTATTGAGTGAAAGGGAAAATCAAGGTGTAGATAGCATATACACATTGAAATATATATATATATATATATATATATAACAGAAATATATATATGTATATACAAAATGATTACAAATTGAAATCTATCTATCTATATATATAAACATATAAACATATATATGTATATACAAAATGATAACAAATTGGGCCGGGCACGGTGGCTCATGCCTGTAATCCCAGCACTTTGGGAGGACGAGGCAGGTGGATCACGAGGTCAGGAGTTCAGGACCAGCCTGGCCAACATGATGAAACCCCGTCTCTACTAAAAATACAAAAATTAGCCGGGCATGGCGGCGTGTGCCTGTAATCCCAGCCACTCGGGAGGCTGAGGCAAAAGAATCGCTTGAACCCGAGAGACAGAGGTTAGAGCGAGTTGAGATCGTGCCACTGCACTCCAGCCTGGGTGGCAGAGTGAGACTCCAGCTCAAAATAATAATAATAAGATTATAAATTAATAGATGATTTGAATGTTTTGTCGAAAATAATCTGTTAGAATATTTCTGAGTAATATTTTCATATAAAACATTTAATGGAAATTGTTTGCAGCATCATGAACATTTTAAAACGTGTTGAATGTTTCTACAGAAGTTCCAGTGTCATATTTCTGTTTCCTTTTCTCTGCCTAATATTGCAAAGCATTTTTCTTCATATCGGTAAATAAATTATCAATATTTCTGTACAAGAAATAATAATTTTCTTAACCAACATGAAAATGGCTGAGCAGAACTTAAAAATATTAGAGAGCTCCTGACAATTTTGAATTACATGAAATTGATGTCATTCAACATTTTTGGACTTAATAAAAAGGAAATTTTACAGGGTTAAAGCAAATAATTTAGAAAATTCTCAAATATTATTTTAACAGTTAAATAGATATGTACTACAGAGCAAAAATATATCCCGTAAAATGCATTTTTTCTTGTTTTCTTTACAGCATTATATTAATATAGAACAAGCAAATTCTTCTATTTTATATGTATTACTTGTTCTCTGATCCCAAACATAAAGAATCCCAGGTAATATCATAAATATGCTTGAAAAGGCGCTAACATGAAAATACACACCTTGAAAACCTTTTTCTAGCAACATTTAAATTTTTTCTAGGCGTAATATTATCCATAGCATCAGGTTATTTCTTTTTCTTTTGAAATGTCAATGTAAGTGTTGGCTGTGTAGAAATATTTTTGGTTGTTACATGCTTGTAGCATTTCAAAGAAAACAGCACCACATCTATCTGTAGAAATGTGAATTTTAAAAACTCATACATAGATAGAAATGTGTGCTAATATTCCCATCTTTACTCAAGTATACATTTAGAACTGTTAAATGAAAGATGAGGATGCCAATCCACTGCTATTTTATAAACCGATAAACTTCATAGTTCAACACAGCACAGCGTTTTTGCCAGCCTGTCACAGCTTCTTTCTGGCAGCCATCAAATGGCGGTAAACCCCATGTAGCCGACAGTCTGTGGGTGTAAAGTGCTTTAAAGCAGTACAGTACAATCACGCAAACGTTATGCTCATTTCTAAAATGTCTTTTGACATCACGGTCCTCTTGGTTTCAGAATATGTTAGTGATTATTGGCCACCCTTCATCTCTGGGAAACATCAGCTCTGGAAGGCACAGAAGCCTTAACAACTTTGTGCGGGCTCCCATGCCACTGGGAACCCAAGCCTCCCTCATCATCACACAATGGTTTCCAGCACCTGCCAACTCTGTTCCCAAGCCACCCAGGCAGGAGGGTGATGGGGACAATTCTCCAGGGGTCTCTCATGCATCTGGTTAGCTGAGATACCAAACTGACTTTTTGGCCTGAACTATTTCTTCCAAGCATGTAGCAAACAGCCTTGGAAGAGAGAGGTGGATGGATATGCACCCTCCTATCTAGCACAGAGACTCGTGCATCTCCTTAGCTAAGGTACCAAACTGACCTTTTGGCCTGAATTATTTCTTCCAAGCAGGTAGCAAACAGCCTCAGAAGAGAGAGGTGGATATGTACCTCCTATCTAGCACAGAGACATTTCCTTTTATCACCTTAATAGGTATTTTCTAAATGTATTTATCATCTGCACATGATGATGATGCATTTAGATGAGGTGGGGATGGGACCTTTGTTTGACTTTGTAAACCTGCTTACGGGAATCCCGTCGAAGCACAGCTGAAAGCGGGACGGGCACTTTACGCTAGTTCCACATGGGTAACCCTGTGGATGAGCATAAAAGGACCATCTTCAGTGCTGACTCCATCATGGAGCAACCGAGCAACCTTGGGAAAGGTACTCAAGCTCCCATGTATACTCTGGGCATGATAGCAGTACTTCATAGGTTTGTTATAAGAGCTCAGAGATTTAACTCGTGTAAAATGATTAAAACAGTGCCTGGTGCTCATAGACATAACCTTAGTTTTTCTACATTGAGTTATTTATATTTATAGGTCGTATAAACCTAGTGCTAGATATGACCTAGTACTGCAGGATTATACGTACACAGAGTACTATAGTGAATATAGTATATGGAAACCTACAGTACAAGGTCACTATGGTGATATATATATAGTATATATAGTGATATACATATAGTGATATATACAGATTATATAGTACCATAGGTCACTATAGCGATAGGTTTCTATGACCTATAAATACTAGATATGACCTAGTACTGTGGGATTATATGTATATATAGTACTATAATGCATATAGTACATGTAAACCTACAGTACTAGGTCACTATGGTGATATATATATAGTACATATATATAGTGATATACATATAGCGATATATACAGATTATATAGTACCATAGGTCACTATAGCGATAGGTTTCTATGACCTATAAATACTAGATATGACCTAGTACTGTAGGATTATATGTACATATAGTACTATAGCGAATATAGTACATGTAAACCTACAGTACTAGGTCACTATGGTGATATATATAGTATATAAAGTGATATACATATAACGATATATACAGATTATATAGTACCATAGGTCACTATAGCGATAGGTTTCTATGACCTATAAATACTAGATATGACTAGATGGAACTGGTGATATAAACCTATCACTAGATATGAGTATCAAGCTAGTATTGCTCTGGTTTGCTTTCCCTTTTTTATGATGTATATAAATTGCATTTAATCATGTAAAGTCCTCATGGTGCCCAGCATAGAGTAGGTCCACATAAATAAATTGTTAATGACTGCTTTGCTTCACTGACTAGTAGTAGTTTTAGCTAAAGAAACAATACCCACATATTGTGATTAGAACTTAGGGGTTTTTTTCATGCAAAAATCACACATTTATTAAACATATTATTAACTGAAAAACAACATACCAGTTTATTTTCAAGTGCTCTTCATCCAACACCTTGGACAAAACCGTCAGCTCAAAGTGAATTCAAAAAACACATTATAAGGCAAACAGTGACAAGAGGTATGGACAGGCACTACCAAAAAAATGCAATTTGTTCTCTAATTAAATAATGTCATTCTCAAGTGATATAGAGCTGTCATCTTGACAGAATTCCTTTTTTGTATAAATATTCATAAATAAAAATGTCTCCACATATTGGAAAGAGCTGCAAACACTCTACAACAGCAGCTTAATGTCTACTTCAGGGGAAAAAAAAGCACTAAAATCCTCTTCCATTGCAAGCTGTTTATTTCTCTGGTGTACCACAGCTAAAGATGAGTTATGATAGCAGCTTGATGTTGATTATGTTATATTCTTTTAATCAAAAAGGAAACACTTATAATATTCTAAGTATCTTTAGCCCAAATACCATGTCATAGTGAGCATTTGTAAATAACCAGACTGTACTGTCCTTCATATGTGAAGCTGACACTACTGATGTGTCAATCAATGCCAAATGTTGGGTAAAGCATTTAATTTTTATTTATTTATTTTCTTGTTGCATGAAAAGGTGATTGCATTCTAACTTTTGTGACCTACCACATTTAAGATGTGTATACGTTGTTCTTTACTTTGTCCCAGAAAAGACATTTTAATCCTGTAGTGACTTTGCTCACTTACACCAGAGAAATAAACAATTTAGTTTTTCACTGGAAGGCTAGCTTAATGGTTTTGTTTTCTCCTAAATACACAGTATATGATACACATCTTTCATCATTTTGTCAGACTGTTAAACCCAGTCCGTTAATACCAATAGCCCTCACTTCTTTCATCATGTCATTAGCATGAATCGTGTCTTCGATGATCCAAATCCAGTCTCAGTAAATAACTGAAATGAAAAAAAAAAGGGACCTCAAACATCTGCCTCGGAGATCTGCACCACTGCAAGAAGGCGGCAAATGGAAGCATAATTCCTTATTATAACCTTCATTTTACTAAAAACCTGAGGGTGAAACGAACTAATTGTATTTACCATTTGCATTTACTATTTATCAAAGCTGAAGTATTTATCTCTTGAGATTCAGTGTACTGATCTACATATTACTGCAATTGCTAAAGAAACTTAAAAACTGTTTCATACCATCATATCATACAAAGGAATGAGCCCTGGGGAAATACATACTTGGACATTTAATGGTAACCAAATTTTTCTGGCTAAGAGGTAAAGTTTTATGCTTACTCTGCCAGATTTTTTCCATTTAAATTAAGTGAACAAAAACAATCCCCCGAATAAAAATTAAATCGGTTTTCCAGCCCTTGAATACCAAGGAATTTTAACAAAACAGCCACATCTCTTTTTTACAAACTTTAAAGAACGACGGGAGGAAATGCTTACTTGAAAGTTTCAGATGATGCTTAGAAAATGTTAACATGGATTTCCATTTTATTATAAACGTTACATTTATTTCCTCATGTTACTGAACATATCATAGTTGGTATCAAAAGAGTACTCACGATGCAAATTGACTTTTTGCTGTTTAACAACCATTTAATGGAACCTGCAATAACTTCTTTACAATGAGAAGCAATTTTGTTAATTGTTGTCATTGTAACTTCTTTAAAGCAATTGTACATCTAGATATGTATTTTAAAACAAAAAAAAATAGGTATAAGTGAAGCTACCTTAAGCCCTGTCATATGTTTTACATAGGCACAAAACCGTTCTATTGATTGATACATTTACCTGTGAACTGCAAGAGACCCCTTATTCCTGATTTTTCCAGAAGATTTTAGAGAAAATTAGGCCTTGTCCTTAAAGCCACTGGTCTATTACCTATGGTGACCCCATCACCTACTTAATACTTCTCAGAATAAACCACATGCAATGTTAAAGTGGCACCTGTTTCCTGCTTGTGTTCTCAGTTTTATAATGCATCAGATTTAAAAATCATGAGAGCTAGTAAGTTCCTAGAAGCAATATATCCTAGAAATTAGGAAGACAGATTCTCTTCTCCGATTTTCTGGACTTTGCTACTTACTGTATCCATGACCTTCACCAAATTACTCAACTCATGCCTTCTTTTGGTTTTCCTCTATACAATATGGTGATAATGAAATTACATACCTCATAATAATTAAGTAAATTAACTTGTGTAAAGCTATTGGAAGCAAGAGTGGAAGACAGTAGGGGGTATAGGGTTAGTTTTAAGCTAGTAATTACCAATATGGTGTGTAGCCCTACTTATGCACACAGGGACTCACACACGATGTGGGTGGGGCTCCAAGTCGGCCTCTTTATCATACCTGACTTTTACTTTTGGAGAAAGGAGCTCAAAATAAAGAGAAGTTTGTGAATTTTCTTCTACCGCCATGGAACTCTCAGGAGTTTTTCTGCAGAGGAGTGTCCTCTTTTGATTGCTATGCTCACAAAGTCAGTCTGGCTGTTGTTTGGAGACACAAGGGAAGCGGAGGTGAGGCAGCGGGGGTTTCAGGCGCTCAGGTGGTGACCTGGGTGGTGCAGAAGTGAAGCCACGTGGACGCATGTGTTTCAGAGGCAGGGCTTGGTGAGGGAATGAGTGTGAGAGCAAGAAAGGAGCTAAGGGTTACAGGAGATACCTGTACGCCTCCTCCGGTTCCTTCCACCCTACAGTGTGTAGCTGGGAATGTCCTAAGGCTCCAAACCAGGCTTCTGCCCACCTTCTTCACCTCTGCTTCTTTTTATTCCCTTCCGTGGACATTTCAGAGCTAACAGTGCGCTCAAATCATGTCTCCTGATCCTCGCCCCCACGGATCATGAAACCAGGTGAATACTGAACTATCTCTATGTACAGGCTGCTGGAATGGACAGAGCCTTGAATTCTCCCTCCACCACGGTACAGTGTACCCCCAGGCAGGCCTTGGCAGCGTTACACAATTGCTGCCTTTTCCTGATGCCCAAAGCACCGGTGTCTAATCAAATCATTTCCAGGCAGCCTTCCCCGCAGCAGCTGAAGACTTCCAACACTTCCCTAGAGGTTTCTGTGATGCCCAGCCACATCTGTGTGCTCACATATGGCAAATTCTTTGATACCTCAAGTTATTTTCTTTGTATTAAACCACTAAGATAAGGAACATAATATCTTCTTCCTAGGATTGCTATTCTAATTGAATCACGTAGCTTAGATAAATGTCTAGAGTGACTCTTCAAAGAGCCGCTCTGGGCCAGGCGCAGTGGCTGATGCCGGCACTTTGGGAGGCCGAGGCGGGTGAATCATGAAGTCAGGAGTTTGAGACCAGCCTGGCCAACATGGTGAAACCCTGTCTCTTCTAAAAATACAAAAATTAGCTGGGTGTGGTGGCGGGTGCCTGTAATCCCAGCTAGTCAGGAGACTGAGGCAGGAGAATCACTTGAACCCAGGAGGGGGAGGTTGCAGTGGACCAAGATCCAGATCACACCACTGCACTTCAGCCCAGGCAACAGTATAAGACTCCCTCTCAAAAAAAAAAAAAAAAAAAAAAAAAGAGTTGCTCTGATTTTCCTCCTATTTTGCCAGGCCAAGTTCTCGCCCCAGCCATCTCTTCTGTAGAAATTGGTCCCAGACGATTCCCGTGTTCCTTCATCTACATCCGTTATTCTTTTCCGCTGCTGTTTGCATCCGGCCTTCTGTTTCATGTCCTGTGCATATCTTCAGGCTCTAAGGGCAGGAGATATCACTTACCAGTCTCACACCAGTAGTTACAAGCCTGATGCCCCATTCAGAGCACACGCTCCAGGACGCTCAGTGAGGGGTTGCGAGTACACAGCTCCTGCCTGTACCAATAATGTCTCTGCCTCGCTGTGCCCATGGAACTCACCATCTCACATGCTGTCCTGATGGAATCCAGGGCACTTTGTTTGCTCCCGTCTTTTCGAAACTCTCTGCTTCTCCCTTCCTTTACCCCCAACCAACGACTTAAAACCTACATTGTGTTTCTTTTCCTCATAATTTTCACATAGTTGGCTCTTTATTTCAGGGTTATGTAATGCCAATCCCTTTTTTGGCAGATATAAACTACTTGCATGGACATTCTAGAGACCAGCTTGCAATGCAGAGGAAAACACTTGAGTGTGTCTAATTCCTCAACCCAGCTATGTGTGGCCTTTACACAGAAATATGGCTCATAGGGACATAAAAAGTAGTTTCTGTTTATGCCGTGAAGGCATTCTGTTCTGGATGTATTCACAAACACCTCAACTTGACGGTGATAGACTGAAGGTTCTTGTTCATTTTGTCAATCTGTGAAGTAACAGGCACATGTGCGAGAAATCCTTAAAGAAATCTAAGGGTAACACATCATTGCTTACAATAAAATTTCACTGAGATGATGTATCTGTGATACCCAAAGAGCTGAATTATTTTCAGGTAAAACAATTTCTATTTAGCTTTAAATGTAATGAAAGTACCCATGTCAGTCAGGACACTGACCTAAAATCAAATAGGTCAGTATAAATATTCGCGACCAACAAGACCGATCTTGTAGGAAACTGGGAGATGTTATTTTAATTAATTTTACAAATTACCAAATTATATTAAATACATTTTGAAAAAAAGTGTCCGATACATCATATTCTGTCGTAGCCAAATAAAACGGAGGTAAGAAGACATTATGTTACTGGCAAAAAAGTAGACAAATGTGTCAATGGAACAGAATACAGAGCCCAGAAATAAACCCACATAAATCTAGTCAATGAACTTCGAGCAGAAGAGCAAACACAACCCAAGAGAGTAAAGATAATCTTTTCAATAAATGGTGCTGGAAAAACTGGATATCTACATTCTAAAAAATAATCCAGACACAGACCTTTTGCCCTTCAGAAAAATTAATCCATTATGTATCACACACCCACATATAAAGTTCAAAAATATAAACTCCTAGAAGATAACATAGGAGAAAATTGTGGTGCCCTTGGGTTTGGTAATGACTTTGTAGATACAAAAACAGAGGCAGGATGCATTTTAAAAAGAACAGATATGTTGAACTTCATTAAAATTAAAGTCCTCAGCTCTGCAGAAGACACTATTAAGAAAATGAAAAGACCAGCCACAGACTAGGAAAAAAGGGTTTGCAAAAGACATATGGGATAAAGAACTGGTATCTAAACTATATAAAGAACTCTTAAAAAAAAAAAAAGGAAGTTAACAACCTGGCTAAAAATGGGCAAAAGGCCTGAACAGACACCTCATGAAAAAAGACAAACAGATGGCAACTGAGCATATGAAAAGATGCTGCACATCATGCATCATCAGAGTATTGCTAATTAAAGCAATAATAAGATACTACTGCACATCTATGAGAATGGCCAAAATCCAGACACTGATAGCACCAGATGCTCGCGACAACGTGGGGCAACAGGAACTCTCACTCATTGCTGGTGGGAATGCAAAATCCTGCAGTCTTCTTTGAAGATAGTCTGATGGTTTCTTAAAAAACTAAAAATACTCTTACCATTCACTCTATCAATCTCAACCTTCGGTATTTACTCAAATATGTTAAAAACTTATGTCTGTATAAAAACCTTGCACACAGATGTTTATAGCAGCTTTATTCACAATTGTAAAACTTGGAAGCAACCCAGATGTTGTCTGTACGTAAACGGGTAAATAAGCCATGGTCCATACAGACAATGGAATATTGTTCAGTACTAAAAAGAAATGAGAGCTAGAGCCATGCAAAATCATGGAGGAAACTTAAACGCTTATTACTAAGTGAAAGAAGCCAATCTGAAAGGCTAGGTGCCAGATGATTCCCAATATATGACATTCTAGTAAAGGTAAAACTATGGAGATGAAAGATCAAGGTCAGTGTTTGTCAGGGGTTGGATGCAGGAAGGCGTGAATGGGTGGAGCACAGGAGACTTTAAGGGCCACAAAAGTCACTTTAGGCGTGAATGGGTGGGCAAAGGAGACTTTAAGTGTGATACTATCATGGTGGATCCCTGTCATTACACATTTGTCCAAGCCCACAGATGGTGCAACACCAAAAATGAGCTCTCATGTGAACGCTGGGCTCTGGGTGATGATGGTATGTCAATGTAGGTGCATCCATTGTAACATGCACCCCACTCTGGTGTGAGGTGTTGATAGTGGGGAGGTATGCACATGTTGCGGACGGTGTGTTTTATGGGAAATCTCTGTGTCTTCCATTCAATTTTGCTGTGAACCTAAAACTACTCTCGAGAACAACGTCTGTCAAACAAAGAAACGAAAGCTCTGAAAATAAAAATTACATTTTATAAAGTGACCTTGTCATTTAGCAAGTCTTTCTCAGATAGTATACAAATTTAAAGTGGGTTTTCCTTTAAAACATGGCATATACTTGACATTTTATGCATAACACCTAGAGAACTTAAAAAAAAAAAAAAAACTGATGATTGGTCTCCACCTAAGACCAGTTGCCTCAGAATCCCTAAGGGTCAAAACTGGACATTAACATTTACTTTAAATCTCTCTAGAGTATTTCAGTGCATACCCAGTAGAGAACCACTGGCATTATAAAAGGGGTATAGGATTTAGAACAAGAGGGAGTAGAATTCCAACTTCAAATCTGCAAATTAGTAGTTTTCACCTCATTTGTGTCCCAGTTTTTCAGGGTTTTTATGAGTTTTGTAGATAAGCTATTTGAAATATTTGGCAGGAAATACAGACTTTAAAAATGGAGGCATCATTATGAATGACCTCCAGGCTGTGTGCAAAAGAAACATTGTCCATAAATGTCTGGGACATTGTTCTTATTAAAATCAACCCCAAACATATACATATTGCCATCTGTTAAGTTCCTATTTTGAGAGAATAGTTCTGTTTAGGACTGAACTCAAAAAACATACCAATGTATCTTGCTATCCTAGCCTCCCATACTATTACTTAATTGCAATAAAATAGTACCGTCTTAAATAGAAAATAACCAAGAAATACTAATGTTGATTCAATATTGTCTGACTCTCAGGAAATGCAATAAAAATGATGAAATAAAGAAAAATAAAAGCTTTTGGGAAGAACTCAACCGCCTTCCATAATTGTTTGTCTATTTATATCTAAGTATATGGATATAAGTTAGTTTAAAATTTTTAACATGACCAAAATACTGTAGACAAAAAGAAGCCAATGATCTGACTTTATTATTGAAGACTATGTGAATCCTTCTGCTAGTATCACTGGCGCAAAAATATCATTGTAAATAAGTAAAAAAATAGCAGATACTGGTGAGGCAGTGGAGAAAAGGGAACACTTGCATGCTGCTGGTGGGAGTGTAAATTAGTTCAGCCATTGTGGAAAGCAGTGTGGTGATTTCTCAAAGAACTTAAAATAGAATGCTCATTCAACCCAGCAATCCCATTACTGGGTATATACCCAAAGGAATATAAATTGTTCTACCATAAAGACACATGCACATGTATGTTCACTGCAGCGCTATTCACAATAGCAAAGATATGGAATCAACCCAAATGCCCATCAGTGGTAGACTGCATACAGCAAATGTGATGCATACACATCATGGAATACTATGCAGCCATAAAAACAGTGAGATCATGTCCTTTACAACATGGATGGAGCTGGAGGTCATTATTCCAAGTGAACTAATGCAGGAACAGAAAACCAAATAGCACATTTTCTCTCCTGTAAGTGGGAGCTAAACATTGAGTCCACACAGACATAAAGAAGGCAGCAACAGACACTGGGGCCTATGGGAGGGTGGAGGGTGGGAGGAAGGTAAGGATTCAAAGACTGTCTCTTGGGTACTATGGTTATTACCTGGCTGAGGAAACTATCTCCACACCAAACCCCTGTGACACGTAGTTCACCTATATAACAAACTTGCACATGTATCCCTGAACCTAAAATAAAGTTTTTTTTTAAAGGAGATCATTCTATATGTACTGACATGTAAAGACATACATGATATATTAAATGAAAAAGATTATAGAACCATAAAAATTCATTGTCTATACAGAAATGTTATATAGTTTTTAACTTAGAAAAATTGGGAAGTTACATTATTTCCAATTTGAGTCTAGTTTTAATATACCTGCAATGAAAATCTTGCTGTAGAAATTTAGTGTGTATGTGAGTGGAACTATTCTTCTGGTGGGTTTTGCATAACAGACTATTATTCCATAAGACTAGAGTTTCAGAAAGTACTCCAATTTGTTACTCTTTTAAGATTATTACTATAGACTGTAAATAGCTTTCTCGAAAACTTACCCCACTTCACAAATCAAATTAATGCTTTATTTACTGAGCATCGATGTGTTATGCAGAGCAGGTGATACACAAATAAATGAGGCACTGCTTTTGACTTCAAAGAACTTAAAATTATATGGAAGATAAATAGGAAAGATTGTGTTACATTATGTTTTAACATCTTGAGTACAGTCTTATTGCAGGGCTTAATGTCTCAATTTCCTCTAGATTTCATCCCTCCAGATTGAAAATGGCAGCACAGAATAGGATGTGATGTGCAAATTACATCGTGTCTATACTGTCTATATTTAGGATTCACCTAACATTCAAGAGTGCATAGCTCATTCTAAATGGCTGAAAATATTTTATATGAAATACATTGGTTTTAATATTGCTATGATGAAAGACACCAAATCCTCACAAGGTGTGGGAGAGGACCTCTGAACGTGGGAACCCGGACTTCTCCCGAAAGCATTCAGTTCCCACCTAAACCCACAAAGATGGGCAGATGCCCCTGAACACTTACGCTTACACGTGGGCGGCTTCCCCTTGTTACTCCACAACCCATCTTCTTGACACACGGCTGTTGCTTGCTGGCTGGATTCAAGCTTGAAGCCCTCATGACATTCATAGACCACTTTACTGTCCAAAGTGAACTCGTTCCCGGTAAATGAACCGTTTCCTGGGGATTCTGGGATTCCACAGGACACAGCTGAAAAGAAATGAAACAAATGTAGGCTTATTCTTACAGAAATTATTTTCCAGCTATTAAAACCATTGATTGATTAATCATTATTATTGACTCCATTTTTCATTAAAATTGTGAATTATATTTCTTTTTTTTTCTTTCTTTTTTTTTTCTGGAGACAAGAGTTTTGTGCTGTCTCCCAGGCTGGAGTGCAATGACTCGATCTCAGCTCACTGCAGCCTCCACCTCTTGGGTTCAAGTGATCAAGTGATTCTCATGCCTCAGCTTCCCAAGCAGCTGAGATTACAGGTGCACACCACCATGCTGGCTAATTCTCTATTTTTAGTACAGACTATTTATGTTGGCCAGGCTGGTTGCCAACTCCCAAACTCAGGTGATCCGTCCACCTTAGCCTCCCAAAGTGCTGGGATTACAGGCGTGAGCCACCATGCCCAGCATGAATTCTATTTCTAGGGTATGGGATAAGTATACACATTTTCAAAATCTTAAGTATATTAAAGGTTAAATGAGGAACAATGGAAAATGGGTCAGAATAAAAGCTCTTCATAATTATTTTTCTGGAAGATAAGACTGACCACTCTCATGCAGCTTAGCCGCAGTCTGACATATTTTATCAGAGGGTGTGGCCACGGGAGCACAATGTCACACACTCAACTTCATCTCATATTGGAAAGAAAGAAGAAGGGATGAAGCAGCATCTTTATCATCACAATGCTTATTGCAGTGTAGACTCTTTGGTGTCGAAATTCCTAAGAATCAGCCGCCTCAGCTCTGAAAAGTCTTCCCTTTTTATTGTTCCTCTCCCCTTCCCCAATTCATTTTCCCTAAAGCCCCAGGAAGTTCTGTTACAAGAAAACACGACATAAGGAATTGATAGAGGAGGCACTCGGGGAAGATTCCCAGGGCAGAAGGCAGCATCTAGTGGGGATGTGGACCGCTTTCACGGGAAAGACCATGCAAGAAAGAGGTATGCATGCAGATGAGGTTTTATAAAAAACAAGATTTGGGGAGAATTCTGTGTAAACCCTTTCTTCTTAAATTTGCTATGTCTGATCCAGATGTATCTACTATGGGACAAGAAAAAAATTCTCAAACGATTACATGTGACAGTCATGAAGCCAACAAGCAGGCAGAGGGTGACATTTCAATAATCACGTACCCACTTCAGCTGCACTCATAAAAGAAAAGTTCTATGGTAACTAAATAAAGAGCCTTCTTTTACTCAATCAGTATTAAAGATATTGTTCACACCATGGATTTAAATTCAGATAGTTCAAATTTTTCCCATGTAGATTCTAATGAGAATATCTGTGTAACAAGATAGAGCGGGAAGGGCTGGATGAAGAAATGTATATAAACACATAATTCTACATATAAAGAAAATGACTAACCTAAGGTGACACAATGACTTAGTAACCTCTGGCCAGAGAGCAAATCTTATGACTCCCAAACGAGACTATTCTCTCTTCTGCAAAAGCACAGGTTATCTCCGGTATTGTTGGAGTTCCTTGGTTTGCTGTATTGGTTCTTTCTTCTTTACCAAAATATTAAATAAATACAATGGGAAATTGCCAGAGAAGTAAAAGAAAATGTATTCCCCAATAAAATCCAAACTCCTGGAAATTTCAAGCTCTAAAATGTCTCATGTTTAAATGGATGATCAGGTACTGCAACCATCAAAAATACATGTGGGCCGGGCACAGTGGCTCATGCCTGTAATCCCAGCACTTTGGGAGGCTGAGGCGGGAGGATTGCTTGAGTCCAGGAGTTCTACATTAGCCTGGGCAACATGGTGAAACCCTGTCTCTACCAAAAATACAAAAATTAGGCAGATGTGGTGGCACACACCTGTTGTCCCAGCTACTCAGGAGGCTGAGGTGGATGGACTGCTTAAGCCCAGGAGACAGAGGTTGCAGTGAGCTGAAATTATGCCAGTGCACTCCAGACTGGGTGATAGAGCAAGGCCCTGTCTCAAAAACAAACAAAAAACACATGCGTGTGTGTGTGTGCACATGCATATTTACATGTGTGTACATGTGTCCATGTGCGCACGTGTGTACGTGTGTGTACATGTGTGTAGTACATGTGTGTATGGCATACTACAATAATCCATTTGCAGTAGAAGGAAAACGAAAAACCACAGACATAAAGGCATCATTTGGGGCAAAGCATTTCAAATAATAAATAATCATCTTTGGCTCTGTGGAAGCAACAGATCTGTGGGAAGACTGTTGGCATGTGGAAAATATTCATCTTAATTTCCTGAATGCAGTAAATGCCAGAGACCCATCCTTTCTTTTCTGTATCTCACAATGTTCCAATATCTAGCTTCCTCATCATTTTCTCTCAGATTTCACTCTGAAAATCACGTGTTCATGATCGCAAGCCTTAATTTTTCTCCCACTCGCTGGCTGGAATGTGCGCAGTGTTCAGCTTCCTTAAAATTCTCATTTGGGCAGAGCAGGGAAAGAAATGACATTTTTCTATCGGACGAAATGGGAAAGATGACATTCTACAAACACAGATGAAGCCCCATCACAAAACAATTCATACTCGGGAGACCAAAGCAGAAGATCTTTATAGCCCCTTCTGTTACATCTGGATGCTTATTTGAGAAGTGAACCCCTGCTTGCCCAGGTCTTAAGACAACCCATTTTATGTTGCCTGATCAACAACCGGGAATCTTTTTATGGTTTTGAACCACAGTGTTTAGCCCCTTAAGCGTCTTAACAAAAGGCTATTTGGTAGATTTAAAATAACGGTTGGCAATGGGTCAAAAGTAGAATTATAACACTTCTGATTTAATGGAGACACAGCATAATCCTTATGGACTAAAATCAGGCTCATGGGATGAAGACAGTTTCCTGCTCAAGTTTAGTATTCATTCATCTCTCATTTATTCCCAAAATTTTGCATGATTGCTATAGGATAGGCATCCATAGATCACTATTTTTTTAAAAATGCGAATTAGCATTGGCAATGTAAGAAACTTTCACAGTTTGGAGAATTTCCTTACATTTGGTATATCCAAAGAGAGTAAAATTCCTCAGTTGTTTTTTCTTTAGTTGTACTAAGGTATTATTATATGTCCCAGCAGCTTAGGCGAATAATCATTTATTGATCCTGTAAAGTTAAATTTTGTTTGGGAGCACAGGCCTCAAACTCAGACTTCTGAGTCAGTTCTTGCTGTACCTCTCAATAACAGTGTGGCTTCAGCTAACTTACTTAATGAACGTTGTCTTCTTACGCTCAGGTTATTAAGACCTATGTCAAAAGGTAATCAGGAGGGTTCAATGAAATCATCCTTACAAAATGCGAGCCCTCTGTCCACACGACATAGGCATTCAATCAATGACAAATTATTATACGCAGAAAATCTAATAATTATGTTATAGGCAGAATATGTTTTGTATTACACATACACACATAAAATTTTTACTTATTTATTTGCAAATAAAAATATTAGTTGCAAGGATTAACTCTCTGTTATCTACTTATTAAAGAGAGCAAAGAGTAAGTTGGTAGGTAGTAAGATGGCTTACTTCACTTACATATCTCATGAGAGGTGTAACAGTTTGATTTCAAAAAAGTAAGTAGAAGAGACGTCCAGTGTTGTCTGAACCTTTAATACCACAAACCCCACATGGGATTTCTTCTTTGGATATCTAAGATCCTTCAAATAGTGGTTAACTTTGTTTCCGCAGGCTTAAAACGTTTCTCTGTTTTTTTCTTTTTTTCTTTTTGAGACAAGGTCTCGCTGTCACTCAGGCTGCAGTGCAGTGGCACAGTCCAGGTTCACTGCAGCCTCAATCTCCTGAACTCAACCCATCCTCTCACCTCAGCATCCCCAGTAGCTGGGGACTACAGGCCCAGGCCACCACGCCTGGCTATTTTTTGTATTTTTTTGGAGAGACTGAGTCCCACTATGTTACCCAGAATGGTCTTGAACTCCTGGGCTCAAGCCATCCTCCTGCCTCAGCCTCCCAAAGTGCTGGGATTACAAGCATGAGCCACTGTGCCTGGCCAGCCTGAGGATTTCTGAGGATTTTTAAGTATTTCCAATGTAAGAATTTTTTATTAAAGATACGTATTTATATGAATATGTATATATAACTTTAAATATGTATACACATATGAATGTTAGGATTTTCAAGTATTTCCAAAGTATTTAAGAATTTTTTATTAAAATTATATATGTATATAGAAGTATAAATATATGTACACATATAAATGCTAATCAAAATTGTAATATAAGAATATTCTAGATTACTATCTACATAGGTTGTACTATACAATATTAGTGCCTGCCATTTGTTTTTGAGTTTATGTTCATGTTGGGCCAAGAAATAACAGTTAATTTTTTGCAGCCTAAAGAGAAAAATATTAGAGACAGATAATGGAGAAATCATGGGTTTGCTTCAAGAGAAGAATAAGTGACTATACAGAAACTTCCACAAATATAAGCCATATAATGCTTATATGGTAAGAAATGTTGAAAAGATGGACTCATTTTACACGCAAACACACACACACGTGGTAAATACCTATGAGTATCATATATAATTTTTCAAGTAATAATTGAATTTCATAAAAACATCATCATCTTAATGGTTATTTTCCTCAATTTGAATTGTGTAAGTTAAATATGCATTTAACTTGCAAATACAAATATGCACGCAAAACATTATGTTTGTATATATTTAGTAAGATTATAATCAAATAATTAAATTCAAAATCAGGGTCATTAAAACACCTTAGGAAACACTAACTTAAGGGAATCATCAACTATATGTGTATTTGCAGGTATGTGTGTGTGTTTGTGTATATATATATGTATACACACTTATAGCTATATGTCTGAGAAAACATATATAAGTACATATGTGTAATTATGTCTTATTTTATACATGATTTTATAGTTATAGTGTTTTCACATCATGCTTTTTTACTTAATTTTCACTACAAGCCTATTAGATACAAACGTTATTCGACTTTCTTACAGATAAAGTTACAGATGCTAACATTTTTTATATCATTTTCCCCAAGTCTAATAGTCATTAAAAGGCTGAGGCCTCAAAACGGTTCTGCTGAATTCAGGTAGACTTTCTCATCCCATTACTAAAGATGCCCGGACTATTGTGATTATGTATTTTCAATTTTAAATCTATCAGATTAGTCTTCACTGAAGTTTTCATAATTTCATTTTCAGTTTAAAAATTTATAGTGGTTCCTTATTTCCCGCGACACTGAACAAAAACTACATTTTTTGTCTTCAAACCTCACCAAAACCTTCCCCTACTCTCCGTAACTTTCCACCGCCTGGCCAGCAGACCCTCGCCAAGTATCCACGCCGCCCAGTCGGCTTATTCTCACTTTCTTGCCTTAGTTTTCTCTGGGTTCTTCCGTTCTACCCCAAATATTCTTCTTATTCTGCACCTATTTAAGCCTACTCTAGAGCAGAAAATTGGCTTCAACCAGCGAGTCCTATTCTCATCTGATTGGTAGTGCTATTGTGTGCAACTGTTTGTAATTTAGCAAATATTTATTTAAATAAAAATATTGCTTCACAAAGTTATATATAACTGCACTTTCTATAGTTGTCTGTATTAAATTACCGTGTGCATTGTCTTCTTAAAATTACTAGTACTTTAAAAATAAATATCAATGCTGCTTCAACAGATCTGTGCATTCTGAGGCCCATGAAACCAGAATATTAGACCCGTATTTGTGGGTAGACAGTAAATATATACAAATATTTTGCAATCATTACAATTTGCATTACCAACTTTCTTGATACACGAAAACAATCACTAGTTAATTTTTCAATAAACATGATCCTTTTTGGTGCTAATTGCTGACAAATGGTTTAATCGCAACATATAAGGTGCTAAGACAGGAAAAAATACACAGTTGTCGATTTACCATGCAATAAATACCAGGCCTCTAGAAAGAATGTTTGTGCCACAACTTCTCAAACATTAATGTGCTCCTTATCCCCAGGCCATGCTGATGGCACTAATATCCTGATGAAGTACATCTGGGGGAGGGGGAGATTTGAGACTCTACTTTTCTAACAGGCTGCGTGGTCTCGGAGGAGCAAGGATTTAGACTATCCTAAATGCCCTAGGGAGGCTGCTAAGCCTTTGCCCACACACGGTTTACAAACACCTGCTATATAATTCCCCTGCTGAGTGTCCTAGCAGGATCCACACAAATGCCTCAAGTACCCTGCAGGGACCTCCCACCTCCTCCTCCATTCTGAAGGGTTTACTACCCCTTGCTGCTTCTCTGAATGCACTTTGCTCAACAACCAGCCCTCTCTTTAAAAGGAAGGTGTGATGTTGGATGTTGACATGTTTGGGGAAAGGAGGATGTGTTGGTGATTTTTTTTTCCGCTAACCCTGCGCTAAAGTGAGAATCCTGTTCCCCGCATGTGTCTCCTCACTATTGGATGAGACCATAGGAGACGCTGCAAGTGCAAATGAAGGTCTCCCCATCCCATCAAAGCGTATTTTAGCACGACTATTAATAATAATGGCTTGTTAAGAACTAAAAAAAAATAAGGAAAAATATTAAAAGTAACATAAGAAGCAGGCACCCCAGACATCAAAAAAAAAAAAAAAGTGCCCTTAAAAAACCAGGATAAACGTTTACCAAAAACACGAGGGCTTCTGTCTTTATAAGGTGATCCTTGCACTCCCTTCCCTGCACAACTTTTTCTCTGCTTTTCTCTGCAACAACTCATGCTTTTTAAGCAACATCCTCAGGACAGCCTCTCAGTTAACAGTTTTCGAGAAATGATTGTCATGTGGGCTGTTTGTGAGCCGCTGTGAAGCGAAAATGCTGTGGGATAAGCTGGAGAGGAGAGGAGGGGACACACGACTCAGGGCCCAGGTGACAGGCATGTAGCTTATAGGAGGCACGTCAGGACACCCTTCAGAGTTTGAAGATGGGCAGTGACACCAACTCATTTGTGACCTGATAAAACCCTCTGGTTGCCATCAGGAGATGAACGGAGAGAGGGTCCTGAGTGGGGCAGACGTAGGAAGCCCAGTAGGGCAGCCCATGAGAGAGAGGAGAGTGGACTGGGGGAGGGGAAAGATGTGGATGGACTTGGACCCACTGAGTAGCTGGGACCAACAGGGTGTGGGAGTCACAGGAAAGACTTTATGTGCAAGCAAGAGAGAGAAGTGATTCAAGCAGTTGGATAGACTGAGATGCTAATTTCTCAAACGGGATTCACTTCAGGGCAAGTAGATTCAGGGGAGAAAGGAGTTTTATCTTAGCAGTGGGATCGTGAGGCACAGTGGGTACTGCAATTAGGCAGTGGGTATTAGGTCTGGAACTGAGAAGGAAGGGCAGGCAGCAAGTGAAGACCATGAAGTATTTCTAACATTTACCGCAAACTGGAATAAAGTACTTTCCGGCTCTTTCTATGCCTTATTCAAATTGTGAGATTACATAGCTAAGACTATACATTGAGCCTGTCCTAAAAATTACTAACAACTTTTTTTTTTTTTTTTCTGAGTCTCACTCTGTCGCCCAGGCTGGAGTGCAGTGGTGTGATCTCAGCTCACTCTAACCTCCACCTCCCGAGTTCAAGCGATTCTCCTGTCTCAGCCTCCTGAGTAGCTGGGATTACAGGCGTGCACCACTGTGCCTAGCTAATTTTTGTATTTTTAGTACAGACAGGGTTTCACCATGTTGGCCAGACTGATCTTGAACTCCTGAACTCCTTGAACTCCTTGAACTCCTGAACTCCTTGAACTCCTGAACTCAAGTGATCCACCCACCTTCGTCTCACAAAGTGCTGGGATTATGGGCATGAGCCACTGTCTATTAACAACTTTTAAATAATAAAAAATTACTATTAGAACAGACCACTTACTTGGCTAGGAAGTTAGACTTGCTCACAGGCATGATTGTTGTAAGTTGGTTTACAAGCACTTGAAATTTGATTTCAGAGACTTAAATTCATGTTTCACTTTCTCCATCAACTTGTGCTATGGAAACAATCAGGTATTTCAAATCTGATACAGGTGATAGCCCCCATCATGCTTTGAATGCATCTCCTCCAAAATTCAGTTTTCAATATGATAGTATTAAGAGGTGGGGCATTTAAAAGGTGATCAGGTCATGAGAGCTCTTTCTTTGTGAATGGGATTAGGTGTCCCTATAAAAGGGCTTTATGGAGCAGAGTCATGCCATTTTGTCCTCCTGCCTCCTGCCATGTGATGACACGGCATTCCTCTCTCCGGAGGAGAGATGCTGTGGGTATGCTGTGAAGTGTCTGTCAATTTCAGCTTCATGTTTGTTACCTCAAAGTGAACAATGGTGTGAAACCATGATCAAATATGCACATATATGTGTAGGAACTAAAGATTTGTATAGTTATTTTATACTAATGTTTATAATATGTTATAGAAACAGAATAGGATGCTTGAAAGAACATAGATTTAGACATAGCAAAGTCTGAGTTTGGTATTTGTCTGTTTGTTTATGACTCGGACAATGTATATAAAGTATCCAAACCTTTGCTTCCTCACCTGCAAAACACAAATCACCCATACCTCCTCAGCAGGGGTTCTTTGACAGATGTACAGTTTACAAAGCAAAACATCTGGACCCTACTAGGCCAGCAGCAAATAGTCACATTTATTATTTTGTCATGAGAAATAATAATTTTCCTTCAGATTTAATGTAAAAGAAAGCATTTTTCTGGTTTTTAAATGAAGGTCAGCTAAAACCTAAATAAATATGAAAGAATATTTTTACTTTTCATCAGAATGTTCGGGACATTTACCATCAAATGTTTTCTCTGCACCGTGGATATCCCCTTATGCCACTGTCAATGGAATTTAGGATGCACTCGAGCAAACACTGGGAGACGTGAAGCTTAATCCACAGTTGGCCAGGGGTTGACAGTGTCTCCTCAATCATATGACATCTTGAGCTTACACGAACCAGCACCGATCCATATACAATAAAGCACTGACCCCATGACTCAGAAAGTCATATACACAGGTGGTAGAAATGACAAAGTTATAGCGAAATCTCTATGTTTCAACATTACTGCCTTTATCAGTATAATATCTGACATCATTGATCAAATACAAATTCCCTGCCATTGTGAAAAGTTTTTCTAATTGCATTACTTCATTTAATCTTGGTAACACCCTACAAGATAGACTCTATTTTTTTTATTACTTGTAAGAAAAGTGGGCATTAGAACATTATGCAAATCACCCACATTCTTATGACTAGTAAACGGCTCTGTGAGGGGTCAGATATCAGAGTAGCTGATGACGAAGCCTGCCTTTCAGTTACTCTCCTGTGCTGTCTCTGGGCTACACCTGACTTATTTCACCATATGTATATTTACTGTTATTTTCAATGTCCACCTATCAACATTCAATCAATCACTTAGAAATACATTTTCAAATATGATTCTGAAAATACAAAGGCCACATTGAATTTGAGCATTAATGGGAATATTTCTGGGTCCTTTCTTTTTTTTCTATTTTCCTCCCTTATCTTTGATTTCCAAAATATTTTCTTGGAATAATTAGGCACCAAGAAACATCTTATTTGACATGTAGCCATCATCCAATATACCATTAATACCATGCTGAAGGCTGAGATAGAAAATAACAGCAAGAGAGGAGGTGCAGTACGGAGCCACCTCTCCACCCACGGGGATAGAACTGGTCACACTGCTTTTCTTTACTATGTGTAGGTGGTGCGATGTCGGGTGTTTCCAAGGAGTAAACACCAGCAACAGAAATATTCTTCCGTTTGTTTGAAAGGATAAAGAAAAGTGTGTCTGAAAATGAATGTCCATAGAGGGAACTAATGACTTGGCTTTTGCAGACACTAAAGCAAACTTAAAAACAACAACAAAACAAAACACATTAAAAAAAAAAAAGCCCAGCAGCTATGAAATGCAAAATTGAGGATAATAGGATTGAGCGAGAAGTATCTTTAGATGTTCTAATCCTCTTGAAAATATCTAGCACTTCATAACCCAAGGAAGAAAAAAAAGCATTTATGAATTTGAAACAGACAAAAAAGCTATGAAAAAGAAGGCAGCAGAATAGGGTTGGCAAATAAACAGCTAATTATTACAGTGAAAGGCTCTGGCTTGGCAAATAAAGCCTCTAGAATGTTTACTCAGGGGTAAATTGGCTGCTCAGCCAAAGCTGTGCAAGTAACTGACTTTTACCCATCTACTTTTAGAGTGTTGTTCAAAAGAGACAGGTACAAACATTTTTAAACTGTCTTTTTTTCGGAATATAAAACAAAGATTTATTCAATAAAAAGAAAATTCCTAGAGAAAAAAAGCTGGAGGAACGTAAAGTGACACTGCTGTGTGTCATAAAAAACTCTGATTCGGATGCCAACCACCAATGTCCTATGGAACCCAAGAGTCCCAGGCTCACTAAGCATTTAATCAATCTCGTATCATAAAAACTTACAGAAGGATTTTATGCACGCTCTTTGTGGCCGATTTCAAAGGGAATCTGCATTTTGGAGCCTATCCTCATCCTCCCTGATAAGTGGGCTTGTTGGGCATACTCTGGTAAACTAGTCAAGCCCAGAAGCACATGTTGTCTCTGATAATGAACAAGTGACTTAACCTATTTCAGCTTCAGTTTTACCTTCTGCAAAATAAGAATAAAAACGATAGCAAAAACTAGGAAATAATGAGTGCTGACAAAGATGTGATAAAATTGAAACCCTTGTGTACTGTCAATAGGACTGTTAAACAATACAGCCACTGTTGATGACCTATGGTGGTTCCTCAAAAAATTAAAAATAGAATTACCATATGATGCAGAAATTGCACTTCTGGCTAAATACCCAAAAGGATTAAAAACTTGTACAGTTATGTCCCTAGTAGCATTATTCACAATAGCTAAAATATGAAAGCAATCGAAGTGTCTGCCAAGAGATGAATGGCTAAACCAAATGTAGCCTCTACACACAGTGGGTTATTACTCAGTCTTAAAAAGGAAGGGAATTCTGACACACCACATGCTACAACATGATGATCTTGAAGACACTATGCGAAGTGAAGCCATAAAAAGACAAATACTATGTGATTCTACTTATGTGAGGTGCCTAGAGTAGTTGAATTCAGAGAGACAAAGTAAAATGATGGCTTGTAGGGGCTGGAGGAGGAGGAATGGGAACTTGTTTAATATGTGCAGAGTTTCAGTTTTGCAAGTTAGAATAGTCCACCAGAGATGGACAGTGGTGATGATTATACAACCTTGTTAATGTACTTAACACCACTGAACTGTACACTTAAAAATGAAAAATAATAACTATATGCCACAGATGCACGGTCATTAGGATAAAGTTAGATAGGGAACATTAAGTCTTGCTGCACAATAGCCAATCAGTACTTTTCAATTTTCATTCTCTTTCATTTACAGGTGAAGAAATGAAGCAGCAAGCACAGCTCAAGCTGCCTCTTAGAGGACACAGGTTACTGAATACGTTTTCAACAAAATGAACTTTCAAGGCCTGATAAATTCTCAAAACATTGATCTGAAGTTTGGCTACATATTAAAGATATGATTTGGATTTGTGTACCTGCCCAAATCTCATGTTGAATTGGCGGGGCCTGGTGGGAGGTGACTGGATCATGAAGGCAGCTGTTCTCATGATGGTGAGTGAGTTCTCAGGAGATCTGATGGTTTGAAAGCCTGTGGCATTTCGCCCCTAGCTCTCTCCCTCCTGCTGCCATGTGAAGAAGGGACTTGCTTCCCCTTCGCTTTCTGCCATGATTGTAAGTTTCCTGAGGCCTCCCAGCCACGTTTCCTGTACAGCCTACAGAACTGTGAGTCAATTAGGCCTCTTTTCTTCATAAATTACCCAGTCTCAGGTAGTTATTTCTAGTAGTGTGAGAATGGATTAATACAATTAATAAGAATAGTAAACACAGAAAATAAAGAAGAAATAAACATATGATCCAAACGTGGAAGGTTGATAAGAATGTTGACTACAGTAAGCAAACCAGCTGCTGAGAATAAAAACATCCCCGCATTTTCTCAAAGTTGGCCATTACAAATCCTTACATGGTTTTGCAAGAAATGCTTTATGGGTTCTTTCCGAAAATGTGATTCTGATTATTTAGAAATAACCAGCATGAGGTTAAGCAAATTCCAACTTAAAATCTCAATAAAGTAGGCATTAAAGACAAGTTAGGGGCTTAGTTTCAGAATCAAGGACCAAAAATCTTTTTTTTTCCTTTTATTCCCAGGGTATAAGCAATGTGGAAGGGAGAAAATTAGAGAACAAAACTTTGAAAACGAGTCTATTCCATGTGCACTGGGAAACATGGCTGGAGGAGTTTGCCCATGCTTCCTTCTCCAGTGGGTCAGGCTAACTTTTTACTTAATGGAAAAAGTAAACAAACAGATGTACCTGGACTAGAATCTTCACAGGCACATCTAAAGAAGAAATAAACCTGGAAATCCTCATTTCATAAATAAGCAAATAATGTGTCTATCATTAAATTTCAAAAAGAAAAATATATAAAAAGAAAGATATATAGTGATAGATAAATGACAGATGATAGAGTAGATAGAAAGATAGGAACATACACAGAGAGGAAGACTGGAATATGATACATAGATAGATAGATAGATAGGTAGATAGATAGATAGACAGACAGACAACAGATAGAAAGATAGATACATAGATAAGTGGATAGATAAATAGGTCAAAAGAAAGATAGAAAGGTAGATGGATAGATTGCTAAATCAGTAGAGAGATGATAGGAAGATAGATACATACAGAGAGATATAGATAGAAAAATGATAGACAATAGGAAGATAGATATATATAAAGAGATAGGAAGATGATAGGAAGATGGATACACAGATGGATAGTTATATAGAAAGGAAAATGATAGATGATAGATACATAGATACACAGATCGATAGGAAGATAGAAAGATAGGAAGATGATAGGAAGATAGATTGATAGATAAAAAATGACAGATTGATTGATCAATCGCTAGGTTGATTGGCAGGAAGACAGAGAAAGAAAGATGATAGATAGGAGATAGCCTACAAAGCATCTGATAAGTATTTTCTCAAAATATAAAAGGAAAATTAGGCATAAACTAAAATGCATGGATAAATCAAAAGTATTAACAAAGCTGAGAAACTAGATTCCCTAGTGATAAAAGGCAAGTAGCAGAAACCATAAAATCTGGCTCATTATAAATGAAAATGAGTGAAGAGCGTAGTTTCTACAGCTTTGAGGTTATCACCCACTAAGCCAGCCAGAGTCTTTCTCCGAGCACTAAATAAACTATAAGCACAATGGCAAATGACTGTTCAGTCATTTAAATGAAAAATTCATAATAATGGGCCAACTTTCCAACCATATTTCCAAAGGTTACAGAAAAATTGTCTATTGGCAATTAGAGAAATTGCCAAAGGACAATTCAAAGGAGTGCGGGCCTATTGAGGTCTGTCCCTGCTTCCAAGGGCTGCTGGTTCTAGCATCGTGTACAATTCTCTTGGCACTTAAACTCCGCTTCATTAACTTTTCTACTACAACAGCTAATGAAATGAAGCATTTCAATATCCAAACTCCAGTAATTATTTAAAACAGATTTAGATTCATTCAAATAAATGACTCCATGAAAATCTCATAGTTTTAGCTCTATTTGAAGCTCAACATGGTCAGAGAATAAGTCACACATATGAAGATACAGAGAATCAGTGACAGAACTCAAATGAGAACTCCCTTCTTGCTGACTTTTCCATTACGCATTTGAACAGACCCTGCAGCCAACAAGAATTCATTACGCATGCAGGTAAAATGAACTGACGACATGTATTTTGAAGTGGACTCTGGGGGTCCTTTAATTCTTGAGTAATCATGGCTTCCTTGTGATATTTTGTCTTAATTTCTGAGGAATTTCAAATACAGACAGACAAGAGAGTAATAGCTTTAGTAAAACAATAATCACCTGTTTTAAAAACACAGGACACAATCGTATTTGTCAAATGGCTCTGTAGATTCCAAACAGACTGAAGGCTGGTCATAAGGGAGATTACCAATTCTGATAATTGCATGGTAATGGAAACTCCACGGAGAACAGAAAACTGAGCTACACAGAAAATTGGAAACTCTTATTTAAGCTCATTTCTCCACAATTCCTCTGGCCTCAAAAATGCATGGAATGAAGTGTCAGAGTTATTAACAGTTAATATGAAATTATTACTTGTAGTGTCTTTGATCAGGCTAAGTAGGAGCTTCTAGTTAAGAGAAGTTGATGGGTGTAATTAAATTGCTAATAAAGAGGTACAGACTGACGAAAATCCACAAAGGCTTTCAGAGGTTAACTGATTTACCACCCCTCCTTCAACCTCATCTCTTTCGCTCAGCCTGTGCCAGGTGCTAAGCCTGGGGCCTGGCACAGAACAAGAGGTCAATACAATCAGTCTACGGAATGAATGGACCCCACGTATGCACCTCTCGACCTGTCTGAGAGTGTCAGCCAACAAGGTGCGTGGCAATGTTATTCCCAGGCCCCATGCGTGAGACAGGAGATACCATGATACTCTGTCTCTTATCGTGACGTTTTTCCACCATTTCCACCATGTACAAATCATTACCAGACGCTCTCACTTCCTTTGTGCCTCAAATGCCCATCTTTTGACCTCGATGCCTCCCCGCACTCCAAGCATAGCCATCTCATCATAGTCCACTGTAGCTTCCTTGCAGGCTCATGCTTCTTTCAAGTTGGAGGAGATTATATTGGTTTACTGAAGCAAGTCCCATTTCAGAAGCAGAAACATTGAATGATTTTCTCCAGGTCCACACAGACATTTAACAGTAAACTGAGAATCAGAATTTAAACCCCAGTACTCCTGATCTAAAGTGAGCTCAACTCTAATGTCACCATCCTTCTCACCATATTAATGTATAATATATAGTATATAATATATAAATATATAATAACATTGATCAACATTCTTCAATTAACATATAATAAAAATTTATATTCACTAACTAGATTGTATATGAAATATACAATAAACGAGTGGTTTTAACAATTATAGTTTATATCAAATATTAATGTTTAATAATAATAATTTTACAACTTTATGGTTTCTATCCTTGGTTCCATGTGCTGTAATTACCTAATTTATCTTACTGAATTCTCATACTAACAATATGAGTCAATATTATTACCCTCCATTTTCAGGGGTCACTGTTGTCCAGAAATATTAGATGATTTATCCAGAGTTCATCTAGTAAGGGGTAAAGCCAGACTCTAATCCAAATGTCCAGCTCTGAAGTGTGTGTTCCTTCCCAATAACAGAATGGCTTTTTGTTGTAATAAATAAAATAAAAAATATTTTATGGTTTGCCTTTTCCCTTATATTTCTATCCAAAAGGGAAATCTCACTGCATGTGTCACTAATGCCTCAATTATTTCAGATTTTTCAAAATGGCTTGAACAGAGGTTCAAACACTGTCTCAGGTAGTTTTCACCATTTCTCTCTGTGGTAATTTTCTTCTTGTCATTTCTAAAAAATGTGAAAACTTTCTTCATAGATTTGCTCATGTTCTTTTTTCTTTTTTCTTTTTGCAGTATGTTGAATCCCACAGGCTTCAAAGAATATGTCACTTTTTCACCTAACATAATTTACCACTCACTTTGTGTAGAAAACCATGACTTTTTTAGACTCTCCAAGACTCAGGACTTCTAACAAAAAATCCCCACACTTCACATCATGGAAACTAAGGAAAAGTCTGTTGCATTCTAAATTCCATTAATGACATAATATTAATAAATAAATACATATGCACATGTGTATTAGGCCATTCTCGCATTGCTATAAAGAAATACCTGAGACTGGGTAATTTATAAAGACATTTAGTTGGCTCATGTTTCTGCAGGCTGTACGGGAAACAAGGTGCTGGCATCTGCTTGGCTTCTGGGGAGGCCTTAGGAATCTTTCAAACATGGCAGAAGGCCAAGGGGGAGCAGGCTTCTCACACGGCCAGAAGAGGAGCAAGACAGAGTTGAGGGGGAAGTGCCACACACTTTTAACTGAACAGATCTCGTGAGAACTCACTATCATGAAGACAGCAATAAGTCGTGAGGGATCCACCCCCATGATCCAAACATCTCCCACCAGACATTACCTCCAGCATTGGGGATTACAATTCAACACGAGATTTGGGCAGGGACAAATATCCAAACTATATTATTTCTCCCCTGACCCCTCCCAATTCTCATATCCTTCTCATATTGCAAAATAAAATCATGTCTTCCCAACAGAAGCCAAAAGTTCATAACTCATTCCAGTATTAAGCCTCATCTGAGACAAGGAGAGACAAGGCAAATCCCTTCCATTTATGAACTTGGAAAATCAAAAATAAGTTTGTAGCTTCCAAGATACAATGGAGATATAGGTATTGGGCAAACTTTCCCATTCCAATAGGGAGAAATTGGCCAAGAGAAAGGGGCTGGGCCGGGCGCAGTGACTCACACCTGTAATCTCAGCACTTTGGTAGGCTGAGGCAGGTGGATCACGAGATCAGGAGCTTGAGACCAGCCTGGCCAACATGGTGAACACCCTGTCGCTACTAAAAATACAAAAATTAGCTGGGTGTGGTGGCAGGCATCTGTAATCCCAGCTACTCGGGAGGCTAAGGCAGGAGACTCACTTGAAACTGGAAGGTGGAGGTTGCAGTGAGCCAAGATCACACCACTGCACACCAGCATGGGTGACAGAGTGAGACTCTGTCTGAAAAAAAAAAAAGAAAAAGAAAAAGAAAGGGATTACATGCCCCATTCAAGTTTGACACCCAGCAGGGCAGTCAGTAAATCTTAAACCTCCCAAATAACTTCCTTTGACTCTGTCTTACATCCAGGGCACACCACTACAAGGGGTGGTTTCGCAAGGCCTTGGGCAGCTTTGCTTCTGTGGTTTTGCAGGGAGCAGCCCCCAAGGCTGATCTCAGCAGCTGGAGTTGAGTGCCTGTGGCTTTTTCATGCTGAGGGGGCAAACTGCTTGTAGATCTACCATTCTCAGGGTCTGGAGGGCAGTGATCCCTTCTCACAGCTCCACTAAGCAGTGCCCCATTGGAGACTCTGCATGGGGTTTCAACCCCACATTTCCCTTGGCACTGCCCTAGTAGAGGTTCTCTGTGAGGGCTCTGCACCTGCAACAGGCTTCTGCCTGGATACCCAGGGTTTTTCATACATACTCCAAAATCTAGGTAGAGGCTATCAGGTACTCTTCATTCTTGCATTCTGCGCACCTACAGGCTTAACGCCACACGGAAGCTGTCAAGGTGTATGGCTTGCACCCTTCGGAACGGGGTCTGAGCTGCACCTGGGCACTTGTGATTCAAAGATGGAGCCAGAACAGCCAGTATGCGGAAAGCAGCATCCTGAGGATTCACAGGGCCGTAGGGCCCTGGGCCTGGCCCACAAAATCATCTTCTCCTCCCAGGATTCTAGGTCTCTGATGGGAGGGTCTGCCATAAAGGTCTCTGAAATACCTTCAAGGCCTTTTCCCCATTGTTTTGGAATATTAGCACTTAGCTCCCTTTTAGTCATGTAAATTTCTCTAACAAGTAGCTGCTCCACAGCCTTCTTGAACTCCTCTTCTGAAAAAGCTTTTTTCTTCCTCTGCCACACGGCCAGCCTGCAAATTTTTTAAACTTTTATGCATTGCTTCCTGCTTAAATGTAAATTTCAACTTTAAGTCATTTATTTGCTCCTGTATTTGAACATAGGCTGTATAAAGCAGCCAGGCCACATCTTGAATGTTTTGCTGCTTTGAAATTTCTTTAACCAGATACCCAACTCATTATTCTGAAGTTCAAAGTTCCACAGATCCCTAGGGAAGGGGAAAGATGCAGCCAAGCTCTTCACTAAGGCATAACACACATGACCTTTGCTCCAATTCCCAAGAAGTTTCTCATTTCCATCTGAGACCCCATCAGCCTGGTCTTCATTGTTTATATCACCATTAGCATTTTTGTCACAACTATTTACCCAGTCTCTAAGAATTTACAAACTTTCCTTTATCTCCCTTTCTTATTCTGAGGTTTCCAAACCTTCCCAACCTCTGCCTGTTACCCAGTTCCAAAGCTGCTTCAACATTTCCAGGTATCTTTATAGCAATGTCCCACTCCTTGGTACCAATTTTCTGTATTAGGCAATTCTTACATTGCTATAAAGCAATACCTGAGACTGGGTAATTTATAAGAAAAAGAGGTTTGATTGGCTCATGGTTCTGTGGGCTTTATAGGAAGCATGGTGCTGGCATCTGTTCAGCTCCTGGGGAGACCTGAGGGAGATTTTAATCATGGCAGAAGGCCAAGGGGGAATAACCATGTCACACTGTCACAGGGCCAGAACAGGAGCAAGAGGTGGGTGGGGATGCCACACACCCAGGTCTCAAAAACACTTATTATCATGAAGATAGCACCAAGCCATGAAGGATCCACCCGCTTGATCCAAACACCTCTTTCCAGGCCCACCTCCAGCATTGGGCATTACAATTCAACATGAGATTTGGCCAGGGACAAATATCCAAAATATATTAGTATGTATATAATTTCATGCTGAAAGGATCATTAAAATGTAAGTGGGAGATGAACAATGAGAACACATGGACACAGGGAAGGGAACATCACACACCGGGGCCCATCACGGGGTGGGGAGCAAGAGGAGGGAGAGCATTAGGACAAATACCTAATGAATGCAGGGCTTAAAACCAAGATGGTGAGTTGACAGATGCAGCAAACCACCATGGCACATGTATGCCTATGTAACAAACCTGCACATTCTGCACATGTATCCCAGAACTTAAAATAAAAAATAAAATGATAAAATGTATGTCTAACATACATTTTTAAAAATAGAAACTCAAGCCATATGCCCCAAAGTAATTTTCAACCTCAAGTGGATTATTTCTCACATGATTTTCAAATTTAAAAATAAATGCAATATTCATTCCATTTGAATGCATAAGGCTTTTTGGAAAATGTGAGCAAAAAAACTACCATTCATCAACACCATTACAGCCACTAATTCACCTGACATCAAAACAGCCTAAATGCAGACAGTCCATCTGAACTCTACTCCATGGATTCATTGCAAATACGTCATTTCATATATTTATAATTTGGTCACCAAACCTGTCCAGTTATGAAGGCAGCATCTATCACAGAACACTGCACCATGTGCACATAATTGAAACTCCTGTGCCCCTCAGTTGATCTCTACTGTTTTACTCCTCATGACACCTGGAAGCAACCCTTCCAGTAAAAGAAATGCGCATGTATAATCCACTGGTCTATTAACAGAAAACAAGCATGGTAAATGATTTTCTGGATAATGCATTCCATACAATGCTCGTCTAAGTTATTTTTTAGAAGAAAATCAATAGTACCTCAGAAAGGTTCAAGAGTAAGAGTGAATGGCAGAAAGTCTCGAGTCTCAGGGCATCTGAGATCAATTCTTCCGGAGTCTATGTCTGCACAGATTCAAACTATTACAATTAGAGGTCGAAAGTTTTGTTTACAAACTTTTACATGGAAGAGTCCAATTAATGATTTTCTCTATTAAGCTGACCAAACTAGGAGTATGGAACCGAAGAATATATCAAACCAATCCACAAAACAAATGCTCTGAATTAGAATCAACAATGAAGATTTTAACAATTAATTATCACCCTCTAAAAAAGCATAGCTAAGAACAAGCTTCAGAATTTTTTTAAACCAGTCATAGAATAAATCAATATGCCAAGGAGGTATTATTTTAAAGAATATTATGTTAATATGAACCAGAAAATGTTCCACCAAGCTTGTCATGTCATGGTCAAAATACTTGGAAGAGCACAGTTCTTGGCGTAGGTGTTTATGTGCATGTGTGCCTGGGTTTCCAGCCCAAATTAAAGAGCTGTTGGAACACCCTCAGATGTTTCATTTGTGGGCCTCCTTTTAATAGTATCCCAATTTTAATTAGCACTAGGGAAGCAGATGTGGCAGAGAAACGATGCCAAGAATCTGAACTTTTCATCTCCACTTGGAGTGAAGGCATGAGGTTCTTCCATTTCAGTGCATAGCATCGTATTGGTTAGCACAGCTTGCCGAATATCTGAATACTGGTCGATGTATATATATAGGTGTGTGTGTGGTGCCCACTTTTCAGTATTAATGGGAACATAAATATCATGTTAATTCAGAGTAATGCAAAACCCAGTATTTGCCTTCAAGTGTCAGATAATATTAAGAATAGACAAAATTGGCTTGGAAAAATCTCCCCAGTCAACTCTTCTCCTAATGAAAAATAAAATCATAAAATTAATTTTTTCCACTCTTTTTTGTAAAAATGAAATGCAACCCTCCCAAATTCCCAGTGCTATTTCTTAAAGTTAGTTAAAATGATGCTAAAGTTCTTAAATAAATACAAAAGTCCTATTGTCTCTGATGAAAACTTTGCAAATAGAGTGAGGAAAATGACTTGAATGCATTTGATATGAAAACATATTATTGTTATTTCAATTAAAGCACTATGGACTTGGCATAGGAAATCATGCATGTAAACAGAAAGAACAGCATGTCCAGAAATAGATACCCACCTACCAGATGATTTAACATAGAAAGTAGTTGGAATTTTAAATCAGCAAAAAAAAATTAGTGGAGAAAATAATGAAAATAATTACCCAGCAAAGTATTTAATAAATGACACTCAGAAAACTGGGTAGCCATCTGAGAGGGTGACATCTTAAAACAGGATCACACTGAGATCAACACAGATTCACTCTAGAATAGGAAGCAAATACTTACATGTATAAATGAAGCAAAGCTACAGATTAGAAAATTAGTAGCTCTATGTATAAATGAAATCATTCAAACTTTAGAAAAATAAATCAATTTTAACAGAAAATAGAGAGGACTTTTCTAGGCCACAGTTCATAAAGATTAAGATGTTTCAATTCATAGACTATAAAAGACATTTGAAATACATATGACTGACAAGTGGCTAATAAATTATTGTACAAAGAACTTTCAATAAAATTGAATAAAACCAAAGAAAAATGAGAACATGAACTTTAAAAAAATATAAAATATAATGGTCAAAAAATTACCAAAAAAAAAAAGTATTCTCTACTGAGTAATGATCAAATGAATGAAAATGGAAACAATGAGTGATTTTTTTTGTTTCATTTTGACTGTTAGATGTGCAAGAATTAAGAAGATTGGCAATTATAATGATTTCTTTTTATTGCAACATAAATTATTCCACACATAGAGGCCCAAAACAGCACACATTTATTCCAACACGATTTCTGCAGTTCAGGTACGGGCGTGGCCTCACCCTGAGGGTGGCAGCGGGCTGCTTTCTCACCTGGAGGCGCGGGAAGAATCCACTTGGAAGATCACTCAAGTGGTGGCAGAAATACGTTTCTTGCATTTGCGCAGCTGAATGTTTCCTGACTGGCTGTGGGCTCTCAGCGTCCAGAGGCCCTGTGTTCCATGTTCTGTGTCTTTCTTCATCTTCCAAGACAGCTACAAAGGCTCTCCCTCACATCCAGTCTTTCTCAGGCCTTCAATCTCTGACCAGTAAGAACTCTGCCCCTAGAAGAGCCCGTCTGGTGAGGTCCTACAATCTGAGCACATTCTCCCTTCCTGAAGTGTGTCTGTGCCAACAACATAACGCAATCACGGGAGGAGGGTCCACCGCACCCCCAGGTCCATAGGGAGCTGTCTACCCAGGGCGTCGGTCACCCCACCTCCTCTTAGGATTCTACCTTCACCAGGCTCCTCAAACATAGAAGCTTCCAGAAGCAAGCCGTCACACCTGTAGTGGAGCAGCCTATTTGGATTACCCGAAGATCAGTTTGACAAGATAACCCAATATGTCATCTGTTCATTGCCTGTATTTCACTTTCAAGAAATTGTATCCTGTGGCAATGAGTGGAAGAAAGTGCAAAGATGTTTCTGAATGAGTATGCATGTCTGCATTTTATCTAATAGTTAGAAACGACATAACTGGTCATTGAAATTGCAATAAATATACAAACATATATTTTAGAATAGAATTTTTGGCATTTTATTATAATTTTTGGATATAAAATAATGTGTATGCCATATCATGGAAAGTGTGATATCATTCAATTGATATAAAGACATAGATTATAGATATAATAGATATGTTTACTGATGTGGTTTGTATCTATGTCCCCACTCAAATCTCATGTTTAATTGTAATTCTCAGTGTTGGAGGTGGGGCCTGGAGGGAGGTGATTGGATGATGGGGCCGGATTTCTCATGAATGGCTTAGCACCTTCCTTTTGGTGCTGTCCTCATGATAGTGAGTGAGTTCTTGCAAGATCCAGCTGTTTAAAAGCATGTAACACCTCCCCTCTCACTCTCTCTTGCTCCTACTTTTGCTAGGCGATGTGCCTGATCCCCCTTCACCTTCTGCCATGATTAGAAGTTTCCTGAGGCCTCCCCAGAAGCAGATGCTGCCATACTTCCTGTCCAGCCGGAGAAACTGTGAGCTAATTAAACCTCTTTTCTTTATAAATTACCCAGCCTCAGGTATTTCTTTTTCTTTTCTTTTCTTTCTTTCTTTTTTTTTTTTTTTAGATGGAGTTTCGCCCTGTCATCCAGGCTGCAGTGGAGTGCAACGGTGTGATCTCGGCTCACCACAACCTCCACCTCCTGGATTCAAGTGATTTTCCTGCCTCAGCCTCCCAAGTAGCTGGGATTACAGGCATGCACCACCATGCCTGGCTAATTTTGTATTTTTAGTAGAGACAGGGTTTTTCCACGTTGGTCAGGCTGGTCTCGAACTCCCAACCTCAGCTGTTCTGTCCACCTAGGCCTCCCAAAGTGCTGGGATGACAGGCATGGACCACCATGCCAGGCTAGCCTCATGTATTTCTTTACAGTAAGAACAGCCTAATACATTTATAGAGGTATGACAAAAACCTAATAGCTTTATATCAGTTTTGTGGGTTGCAGCTTATTTTTTTGTCCCTTCCTTTTATATTTCTGGACTATGTAAATGTATTTTTATCTGCAGACACATTAAGTAAGAAATACATTGGCTGGGCGCGGTGGCTCATGCCTGTAATCTCAGCACTTTGGGAGGCCAAGGCGGGTGGATCACAAGGTCAGGAGATCGAGACCATCCTGGGTAACATGGGGAAACACTGTCTCTACTAAAAATACAAAAAAAAAAAAAAAATTAGCCGGGCGTGGTGGCGGGCGCCTGTAGTCCCAGCTCCTAGGGACGCTGAGGCAGGAGAATGGCATGAACCTGGGAGGCGCAGCTTGCAGTGAGCCGAGATCGCGCCACTGCACTCTAGCCTGGGCGACAGAGCGAGACTCCGTCTCAAAAAAAAGAAAAAAAAAAAAAGACGTTGTCACTGTTTATTTTTAAAAGTTTGTGTCTGTATTCTTTTGCCAGGGCTGCCATAACAACACACCACAGAACAACAGAAATGGATTTTCTCACAGTCCTGGAGGCCGGAAGTCCCACCGCAGGTGTCGGCGGGGCTGGTTCTGCCTGACCCTATCTCCTTTGTGTGTAGACATCATCTTCTTGCTGTGTCCCTGCATGGTCGCCCCTCTGTGCACCTCTGTCTCTGCAGGCTAACTTCCTCTTTGTATGAGGACACCAGCCACATTGGATTAGGGTTCACCCTAATGACTAACTCCATCACCTCTGTAAAGAAAGACCCTGTCTCCAAATACAGTCCCATTCTAAGGTACTGGCAGTTAGGACTCTAACGTACTTTTTTTGAGGGGACTCAATTCAACCCATGACACCAAGTAGCAGGCAGAACCTGCAGACTTTCTATCTCTGGTGCCACTGCCCAGTCACAGGACTCTGTGGCTCTGCTATGCCGGAGATGCTCCGATTGCTGGAAGATATTCCCATAACTGCTCTCACTATTTTTAAAAGTTGAAGACTGCACCACCGCTGGCCTAATTTCAAGCTGTTTCCTCCCAGCAACACTGTTTATGTTAGAAACCTCATGAAAGAAAGGATTGGTGAGATGGTTGAGCCAAATTCATTTCTCCATAAATTCATATTGATGACAACTGTGGCCCAGGCTTTGCGCAAAATGCTGGGGATTCGAAGGTACAGCAGAATCTCTGCCTTTTCTTTAAGAAGTGTGTTGTCTCATATGGGTATATGATTTTTTAGATTGAGGGTACATGTGCATTTTGCTACCTGGATATACTACATAATGAAGGAGACTGGGCTTCTGGCATACTCATCACCTGAGTAGCGAACATTGTATCCAACAGGCAACCCTCACCCCTGCTCACCGTCCTTCCTTCCTCCCTGTTTTTGGAGTCCTAAGTGCACTTCTTTCCATCCTATATCCATGTGTGCCCAGGTATGTGTGTTAAACCCATGCTCATTAGGTGCCTGCACGTCTGGTATGTATTTGAAAGCAGAGACTCCGGACTTCCTGGAGCCTGCCAAATCAGAATCGTGCAGGGCTGGGAGTCAGGAATGCATTTTTTAAACTTTGCAAGGTGAGAACCATTGGTCATGGAGGACTAAACAGCTGCACAAATAGGAAATCAAAGTAAGAAATGCCAAGACATGGACAAAAGGCCACAGTGGGTGCCTAGGTCCCCCCAAGACACAGCAGACTGCCTGGGGACTGAGCCCTGAAATGAGAAGATGAGAAGCAACTCCACACCTCAACAACAGTGCATCAAAGGTGGGAAAACAGGCAAAGCACACACTGTCTGCATCGATGTGGTCTACATGGACATAAACACCTGCCTTCCAGCCTCAGAGCAAAGCACTCATTCTCCCTGTGATGGTCTCTGGGCAGAAGCCTCATCCTGGCTGGCAGGTCCAGCCACCTCCAGAACGTAGTAGTCACTTCCTTTGAATTGTTTGCTTATTTTTCCTGTCTCAGCTATCTCTACCTTAAGAATTTTGGAAAGCCAACTTCCCCAGTAGCCTGAGGCTTATGCCTGCATGCCCATCGGGGCCTTACCCACTGCAGCCCCGACCCCGGCTTGCCTACACATTTTCCCCCAGAGCTGCTCTTCTTTCTGCCAGGGACTGACATTTTCAAACTGTCACTTTCACAGGTAGAGGCTGCCGCTGTGCCTCTTCAATGAAAGACCATAACCTATCCTTCAGTGTCAGCTGGTATCTTAAACTGCACACAGGGCATTTCACTGTCTTTACTCCTCTTTGCCTTTTACTGATTTAGGAGCTGTCATTTTCAAAGTTCCTCCTGCTGAAGTGGAAAGTTCTGGGCTGACTTTTTCATCTCCACTTCCATTTGCCTCCGTTTCCTTTATCCTCACACGATCCCTTTGTTTGCTTTGTGAAATATTTTGAGTATTCCATGTCAGGTTTATTTCTCAACGCGAAGCACATTAAACTCCATTATAGCATTTTTAAAATGTGTGAGATATATAGTTGATCTCTATTAGCCACTCTTATGCATAGGACCCTTGATTCTTTTATAAAATATTATTACTTTGCATATTTTGTACAGTTCCTTGTGCAGAAAGGTCAAGGTCTTCATATCACTACTACTATTATACAAAATTACCCTTTTTGAACACTTCCACTGACTACAATACTGCTTTTATTATTAGCCACATTTCACACAGTTAGAATAGGTGAAGTTTTGGGATGCTCGATGTGTGCTAAGCATGGACAGAGGAAATGCGTTATTTAATTTAATGAATAAACATGCTGGATTTTAGCACATGGTAGAGCAAAATTACATGTCTTCAGTAAAATGCCTGACATATAATTTGCAAACTGCAGAAAGTAACTGATATTGACGGCGTTGGACTCTGCGTTTCAGTCTGATCTTGGAAGATTAATTTGATCCTGGGTTGGCAGACTATGGCCTGTGGGTCGAAACCAGCCTGCAGCCTGTTTTTATACACAAGCTAAAAATGGCTTTTACATCGTTTTTAATTGTGAAAAACTTAAAGACAAAGAATATGCCACTGAGACTGCATATGATCCCCAAAGACTGAAGGTCTACGTGGCCCTTTACAGGAAAAGAGAGCCAGTGTCTGATTTCAGCTACCATGAACAAGAAGGGAAGTATGTTACCAGCTTAGTTACCTAAACACTGCTGCCTTGACATTCAACAACATTCTGCTTGACAGCCAACCAATAGGTTTGCACCAAAAACACTCCTGGGTGCAGACATGTCTGACTGCATGCGAGTTCCTTTTTTGTTGGGCTCCTGTTCTTAGCTGGCAGTATGATAAAGGTTTCATGCCAACATTTGCGTTTAGTCCTTCAAAACGGGGGGGAGCACCTTTATGCCCATTTGCAGATAAAGAACTTCAGTGAAGTCACTTGCCCTGTCCAGGGTCACAGAGCCAGCAAATGCTGGGGATGGGAGGAATCCATCACTCAATTGCGGGAGCCTGACTGCAACTGCACTGCACAGTACTGTACCCAAGCACTCCTTTCAAATCCCCTAAGATTGTGTGAGGTAGATTTAAGCAAGGGCAACTGGGATAAACCTCATTTTACAATATACTTGATGGGAGTTGGCCAGTTTGAGCTATATGGACTGTGTGGATTCACATTCTGATAATTTACAATCTGGCTGACATAATGCCTACAACCTATATAAAAGTGTGTGTCTATATATAAAGAGAGACACAAGCATACTCACACATACATATCATAGCATGTGATTTGACATTTAAAATCCCAGAAGTTCCTATTTAAATGTAAGTTTCTAATGAAATCTAAATGTCTGGAAATATTGTATTAATATCACAAAACAGAGGAGAAGATTGATAATGAAATAGAAGCAAATAGATATGCATATAAAAAAATCAAGATAAAAGTCTCAAATACCTATGCTCTTTATGTTCATAAGTGAAGGATTTTAAGATTTACAAAATATCTCAGTTAATTCATTTATGCCAGGTCTCCTAACATATCCTCCTAACATTTGAGAATGATGTTGTTTTAAAAATTTTGTATAAAGTAAAAGGACAGTTTCCTCTGAAAGATGCCCTCTCTGTGGGCAAACATCATGTTTCGGGGGTGAATGCAGGGTATAATGGAAATGGCTTCGATTTTGGAATCTGAAAGACTGGAGCTTAAATCCCACCTGAGATAATGAGGCATTTTTTTTTTCTGGTAACATCATCTGTGAGCAACAGCATCTATGACGATTGAAGAGATACACACAGACATATCCACGTGCATCCTCTGTCCCCTCCACCCAGCTCTTTGCACCAGTTCCGTCCTTGGCCATGCTATGTAGAAGCAGAATATAGGCAGCTATCTCTATCTAAAAGGCCTGACTTTAAAAACAGAAGCTTAATCATGTAATTTGTGAGAAAGACTGTTTTTTGTACTCTTTGTTGCCTGCAAAATGCTAGCAAATCATAAATAAACAATAGACAAACTCCACTCCAAGCAAAAGCCACAGCTGATAGAAGGCTCTGAGAACCAGACCTTGAAAGTAAATAGCTGCCTGGGAGTTGCTCTCTCTTTGACCAGGGAACTTGAAAGCAGTGCACTCTGATGTGCCAGTTTAACTGGATCTTTGAGATAATACAGAGAATTTCAGTTCTAATTCAGGCTTCTCCTCAAGATGAATAAGATTAGTGTGCTGATAATGGAAACAGCTGCTTGGCAGAGTTTCTTGCTTTAAGGCAGGAAATGAAGCCTGAGGACAGAAGATCTGCCTGGCTTTATCAAGGTCGATAAGAACCAACAGAGATTTTCAGAGAGAAATAATTTAAAAGGTCAAGCAAAGTGAGAAAAACAACCTGGAGTTCCCTGAAACCAATAAAATACATTTTGCCGGCTCCATCTTCTCACTCACAGACAATTGGTAGCGAAACTTTTATTTGCTGAATCCAGAAGCTAATTGCGAGCCATCAAGGGGTCTTGGGAAGATCTCTGTCCGGGTTGTGGCCTGGGGCCTGCCACTTTGAACCCCACAATTCGGGATGGGTTTGGAGTGGGTGCCTCCCAAATCCCCTTCAAGACCTAACAATCATAATTGGCATGCATGTAATATCTGACGGCTTATCCTATATTATTTATTGAATCCTCTCAATAATTCTGGGACGTAGATATCAAAATCTCTATTTTACATGGCAGAAAGTAGGCTTAGGGAGATCAGGGCTCCCTGGCCTTTTGGGGGCTACTTTGGAGGGGGATGGCCCTCACAATGTATCCTCCAATTTCAAATCCGAGTAATTTTTCTCTAAAAATATGATGCGTCTACAATGTCATTGGCAAAAAAAAGTGAATTAAAATAGAAGACAACAAAAGCCAATTCTAAATAATCTTTAAAAGGAAAAATATTCTCCCATATTTATCTTAGAAAGTGATGGATTAGTGATTTTATAAATTTAAAATGTTTACCAAATGGCTACAAGGGGCAGGGTATTTTGCCCGGGTCCGAGGGACACAGTGGCATCCACATGGTTTATAAGATTGGTAGCTGGAGGGCCTAAAAGAGAATGAGCTCAACGTGCCAGGTTTGATCTTGCTCATTTACTAAAAGGTACCTGTTGCATTTTAGTAACTATTTGAATATATTCTTCTAGATATTTTTGTAAAGGAGAAGAACGAATGTCCTTTATGCATTCAGGAAGTTTATAAATTGTATTTATTTTATGTAAGAATAAACGGACTGCTTTTCAAATCATTGAGAAAAAAATAGAATGTCAACTCAAGGATGAATGTAATATTAAAATAGATCAATATAGATTTTAAGTTCCCAATGCCACAAAGAGATATTTGCTATTTTTTAAAATTATTTTTCTTTTTTTACAGTTTTCAAATAAAAATTTTCAAATAAAATAATTAAATAACTATGATGACCTTTAAGTTGGACGTGGAAGTCTTAAAATATTTTAACATTTGCATTAGTAATTACATTCCCAATTATCTCAATGACCTTCTCTATGATTTATTGCAGGATTTATAACCACTTTTGACCAAATGTGAGATACTGTCAGAGTCTAAACTGTTATTTATTTTGTGGTAGAGCTGCCTAGTTTGAAATTTATTACAGCAGATAGTCTTTCTTTAATTACAATTTTATTCATTTCGATTGGTCCTTATAAAAGTTACAAAGTCAAATATGATAAAGCAAATGAAGCATCCAGTATCTTAAACTAATTTAAAATCCACTGCCTCATTACTGGTAATTTTTAAAACTCCATCTTTTCTTAGCCTCAGAGTCACTACTGGGGACAGCTTGCCCCGTGGACCTGAAGCACAAATGTCAAAATCAATTTCATGAAGCTTCCTTTCCCTCACATGGTCCTTATTTCACTGAGTGGCACCAAATACTCCCAGCAATCATGTCCCCCACCAACATATGTCATCCCAGATTTATCTCTTCCTTTTTACCTGCTTTCACGAGAGACTGTGGACTCTGTTTCCTAAGTATTTTCAATACCTGTTTTCATGCAAAACTTGTTTCTCACTGTATTTCTGGAAGTCTTCATATCCCTCAAACACACATTGCTATAACCCACTAAGAATTCGTGTCTTCCAGACAGGATGCGTGCCAATCATTCATTATGCCACGGAAAGATCAAGCTTTCTAAAACACAGATGGGATTGTATCTCTTTTGCTCTTTAACGGAGTCTCGTCAAGCAAGGACAAAAGCTGAAAGCCACGTAAACTTGCAGCTGAGATTTCCTATGGGCTGCTCCTGCCAGCTTCTCCAACCCATCGTCCTCCACCATGTCCCCTTCACATTCCAGCTCAGACATCCCAATATCCTGGACCTTCTCTGCTACTCCCGCCGGATGACTATCCATTCCTGCTGACTATCATATTGACTTGTACTTATCAGTTTTTAAGACTCTCTCCCTCCGGACTAGCAGAGCCATAAGAGCTGGGAATATTTTTTATTCACCTTGGTACCCGCCTGCAGTGCGTAACTCAGAGCTAAGTCTGAATTGAAAAGAAAACAGCCATAACTTCCTTAATACTTGTATGAGGCTTCAGACCCACAGCAACAACCTTAATGTACAAAAACAGACACATAGTTAACATCGCTTTGCCTGTACTCTTGAATACAAAAAGAAACATGTCAAGAAATTATACAAAAGATACCCTCTCCATAAACATAGCCCTTGTATCTACTTTTATTTTGGACAGTGTGCTTGAAGCCTAGAAGCCTCAGAGGTA